>NC_000011.10:53374258-53531706 GCF_000001405.40 Homo sapiens
CAGAAGCATTCTCAGAAACTGCTTTGTGATGTTTGTGTTCCACTTCAGGAATTGAACTTTCCTCTTGACAGAGCAGCTCTGAAACCCTCTTATTCTAGAATCTGCAAGTGGACATTTGGAGGGCTTTGAGGCCTGTGGTGGAAAAGGAAAATCTTCACATAAAAACTAGATGGAAGCATTCTCAGAAACTCCTTTGTGATGATTGCATTCGACTCACAGAGTTGAACATTCCTATAGATAGAGCAGGTTGTAAACAATCTTTTTGTAGAATCTGCGATTGGAGATTTAGACGGCTTTGAGGCCTACTGTAGTAAAGGAAATAACTTCATCTAAAAACCAAACGGAAGCATTCACAGACAATTCTTAGTGATCATTGGATTGAACTAACAGAGCTGAACATTCCTTTAGATGGAGCAGTTTCCAAACCCACTTTCTGTAGAATCTGCAAGTGGATATTTGGACTTCTCCGAGGATTTCGTTGGAAACGGGATAAACTTCCCAGAACTACACGGAAGCATTGTGAGAAACTTCTTTGTGATGTTTGCATTCAACTCACAGAGTTGAACCTTGCTTTCATAGTTCAGCTTTCAAACACTCTTTTTGTAGAATCTGCAAGTGGATATTTGGACCACTTTGTGGCCTTCCTTCGAAACGGGTATATCTTCACATCAAACCTAGACAGAAGCATTCTCAGAATGTTTCCTGTGATGACTGCATTCAACTCACAGAGGTGAACAATCCTGTTGATGGAGCAGTTTTGAAACTCTCTTTCTTTGGATTCTGCAAGTTGATATGTGGACCTCTGTGAAGATTTCGTTGGAAACGGGTTCATCTTCACAGAAAAACTAAACAGAAGCATTCTCAGAAACTGCTTTGTGATGTTTGTGTTCCACTTCAGGAATTGAACTTTCCTCTTGACAGAGCAGCTCTGAAACCCTCTTATTCTAGAATCTGCAAGTGGACATTTGGAGGGCTTTGAGGCCTGTGGTGGAAAAGGAAAATCTTCACATAAAAACTAGATGGAAGCATTCTCAGAAACTACTTTGTGATGATTGCATTCGACTCACAGAGTTGAACATTCCTATAGATAGAGCAGGTTGTAAACAATCTTTTTGTAGAATCTGCGATTGGAGATTCGGACTGCTTTGAGGCCTACTGTAGTAAAGGAAATAACTTCATGTAAAAACCAAACGGAAGCATTCACAGACAATTCTTAGTGATCATTGGATTGAACTAACAGAGCTGAACATTCCTTTAGATGGAGCAGTTTCCAAACACACTTTCTGTAGAATCTGCAAGTGGATATTTGGACTTCTCTGAGGATTTCGTTGGAAACGGGATAAACTTCCCAGAACTACAGGGAAGCATTGTGAGAAACTTCTTTGTGATGTTTGCATTCAACTCACAGAGTTGAACCTTGCTTTCATAGTTCAGCTTTCAAACCCTCTTTTTGTAGAATCTGCAAGTGGATATTTGGACCACTTTGTGGCCTTCCTTCGAAACGGGTATATGTTCACGTCAAACCTAGACAGAAGCATTCTCAGAATGTTTCCTGTGATGACTGCATTCAACTCACAGAGGTGAACAATCCTGCTGATGGAGCAGTTTTGAAACTCTCTTTCTTTGGATTCTGCAAGTGGATATGTGGACCTCTGTGAAGATTTCGTTGGAAACGGGTTCATCCTCACAGAAAAACTAAACAGGAGCATTCTCAGAAACTGCTTTGTGATGTTTGTGTTCCACTTCAAGAATTGAACTTTCCTCTTGACAGAGCAGCTCTGAAACCCTCTTTTTCTAGAATCTGCAAGTGGACATTTGGAGGGCTTTGAGGCCTGTGGTGGAAAAGGAAAATCTTCACATAAAAACTAGATGGAAGCATTCTCAGAAACTACTTTGTGATGATTGCATTCGACTCACAGAGTTGAACATTCCTATAGATAGAGCAGGTTGTAAACAATCTTTTTGTAGAATCTGCGATTGGAGATTTGGACTGCTTTGAGGCCTACTGTAGTAAAGGAAATAACTTCATCTAAAAACCAAACGGAAGCATTCACAGACAATTCTTAGTGATCATTGGATTGAACTAACAGAGCTGAACATTCCCTTAGATGGCGCAGTTTCCAAACACACTTTCTGTAGAATCTGCAAGTGGATATTTGGACCTCTCTGAGGATTTCGTTGGAAACGGGATAAACTTCCCAGAACTACACGGAAGCATTCTGAGAAACTTCTTTGTGATGTTTGCATTCAACTCACAGAGTTGAACCTTGCTTTCATAGTCCAGCTTTCAAACACTCTTTTTGTAGAATCTGCAAGTGGATATTTGGACCACTTTGTGGCCTTCCTTCGAAACGGGTATATCTTCACATCAAACCTAGACAGAAGCATTCTCAGAATGTTTCCTGTGATGACTGCATTCAACTCACAGAGGTGAACAATCCTGCTGATGGAGCAGTTTTGAAACTCTCCTTCTTTGGATTCTGCAAGTGGATATGTGGACCTCTGTGAAGATTTCGTTGGAAACGGGTTCATCTTCACAGAAAAACTAAACAGAAGCATTCTCAGAAACTGCTTTGTGATGTTTGTGTTCCACTTCAGGAATTGAACTTTCCTCTTGACAGAGCAGCTCTGAAACCCTCTTATTCTAGAATCTGCAAGTGGACATTTGGAGGGCTTTGAGGCCTGTGGTGGAAAAGGAAAATCTTCACATAAAAACTAGATGGAAGCATTCTCAGAAACTACTTTGTGATGACTGCATTCGACTCATAGAGTTGAACATTCCTATAGATAGAGCAGGTTGTAAACAATCTTTTTGTAGAATATGCGATTGGAGATTTGGACTGTTTTGAGGCCTACTGTAGTAAAGGAAATAACTTCATCTAAAAACCAAACAGAAGCATTCACAGACAATTCTTAGTGATCATTGGATTGGGCTAACAGAGCTGAACATTCCTTTAGATGGAGCAGTTTCCAAACACACTTTCTGCAGAATCTGCAAGTGGATATTTGGACTTCTCTGAGGATTTCGTTGGAAACGGGATAAACTTCCCAGAACTACACGGGAAAGCATTCTGAGAAACTTCTTTGTGATGTTTGCATTCAACTCACAGAGTTGAACCTTGCTTTCATAGTTCAGCTTTCAAACACTCTTTTTGTAGAATCTGCAAGTGGATATTTGGACCACTTTGTGGCCTTCCTTCGAAACGGGTATATCTTCACATCAAACCTAGACAGGAAGCATTCTCAGAATGTTTCCTGTGATGACTGCATTCAACTCACAGAGGTGAACAATCCTGCTGATGGAGCAGTTTTGAAACTCTCTTTCTTTGGATTCTGCAAGTGGATATGTGGACCTCTGTGAAGATTTCGTTGGAAACGGGTTCATCTTCACAGAAAAACTAAACAGGAGCATTCTCAGAAACTGCTTTGTGATGTTTGTGTTCCACTTCAAGAATTGAACTTTCCTCTTGACAGAGCAGCTCTGAAACCCTCTTTTTCTAGAATCAGCAAGTGTACATTTGGAGGACTTTGAGGCCTGTGGTGGAAAAGGAAAATCTTCACATAAAAACTAGATGGAAGCATTCTCAGAAACTACTTTGTGATGATTGCATTCGACTCACAGAGTTGAACATTCCTATAGAATAGAGCAGGTTGTAAACAATCTTTTTGTAGATTCTTGCGATTGGAGATTTGGACTGCTTTGAGGCCTACTGTAGTAAAGGAAATAACTTCATCTAAAAACCAAACGGAAGCATTCACAGACAATTCTTAGTGATCTATTGGATTGAACTAACAGAGCTGAACATTCCTTTAGATGGAGCAGTTTCCAAACACACTTTCTGTAGAATCTGTAAGTGGATATTTGGACTTCTCTGAGGATTTCGTTGGAAACGGGATAAACTTCCCAGAACTACACGGAAGCATTGTGAGAAACTTCTTTGTGATGTTTGCATTCAACTCACAGAGTTGAACCTTGCTTTCATAGTTCAGCTTTCAAACACTCTTTTTGTAGAATCTGCAAGTGGATATTTGGACCACTTTGTGGCCTTCCTTCGAAACGGGTATATCTTCACATCAAACTTAGACAGAAGCATTCTCAGAATGTTTCCTGTGATGACTGCATTCAACTCACAGAGGTGAACAATCCTGCTGATGGAGCAGTTTTGAAACTCTCTTTCTTTGGATTCTGCAAGTGGATATGTGGACCTCTGTGAAGATTTCGTTGGAAACGGGTTCATCTTCACAGAAAAACTAAACAGAAGCATTCTCAGAAACTGCTTTGTGATGTTTGTGTTCCACTTCAAGAATTGAACTTTCCTCTTGACAGAGCAGCTCTGAAACCCTCTTTTTCTAGAATCTGCAAGTGGACATTTGGAGGGCTTTGAGGCCTGTGGTGGAAAAGGAAAATCTTCACATAAAAACTAGATGGAAGCATTCTCAGAAACTACTTTGTGATGATTGCATTCGACTCACAGAGTTGAACATTCCTATAGATAGAGCAGGTTGTAAACAATCTTTTTGTAGAATCTGCGATTGGAGATTTGGACTGCTTTGAGGCCTACTGTAGTAAAGGAAATAACTTCATCTAAAAACCAAACGGAAGCATTCACAGAAAATTCTTAGTGATCATTGGATTGAACTAACAGAGCTGAACATTCCCTTAGATGGCGCAGTTTCCAAACACACTTTCTGTAGAATATGCAAGTGGATATTTGGACCTCTCTGAGGATTTCGTTGGAAACGGGATAAACTTCCCAGAACTACACGGAAGCATTCTGAGAAACTTCTTTGTGATGTTTGCATTCAACTCACAGAGGTGAACCTTGCTTTCATAGTTCAGCTTTCAAACACTCTTTTTGTAGAATCTGCAAGTGGATATTTGGACCACTTTGTGGCCTTCCTTCGAAACGGGTATATCTTCACATCAAACCTAGACAGAAGCATTCTCAGAATGTTTCCTGTGATGACTGCATTCAACTCACAGAGGTGAACAATCCTGTTGATCGAGCCGTTTTGAAACTCTCTTTCTTTGGATTCTGCAGGTGGATATGTGGACCTCTGTGAAGATTTCGTTGGAAACGGGTTCATCTTCATAGAAAAACTAAACAGGAGCATTCTCAGAAACTGCTTTGTGATGTTTGTGTTCCACTTCAAGAATTGAACTTTCCTCTTGACAGAGCAGCTCTGAAACCCTCTTTTTCTAGAATCTGCAAGTGGACATTTGGAGGGCTTTGAGGCCTGTGGTGGAAAAGGAAAATCTTCACATAAAAACTAGATGGAAGCATTCTCAGAAACTACTTTGTGATGATTGCATTCGACTCACAGAGTTGAACATTCCTATAGATAGAGCAGGTTGTAAACAATCTTTTTGTAGAATCTGCGATTGGAGATTTGGACTGCTTTGAGGCCTACTGTAGTAAAGGAAATAACTTCATCTAAAAACCAAACGGAAGCATTCACAGACAATTCTTAGTGATCATTGCATTGAACTAACAGAGCTGAACATTCCTTTAGATGGCGCAGTTTCCAAACACACTTTCTGTAGAATCTGCAAGTGGATATTTGGACCTCTCTGAGGATTTCGTTGGAAACGGGATAAACTTCCCAGAACTACACGGAAGCATTCTGAGAAACTTCTTTGTGATGTTTGCATTCAACTCACAGAGTTGAACCTTGCTTTCATAGTTCAGCTTTCAAACACTCTTTTTGTAGAATCTGCAAGTGGATATTTGGACCACTTTGTGGCCTTCCTTCGAAACGGGTATATCTTCACATCAAACCTAGACAGAAGCATTCTCAGAATGTTTCCTGTGATGACTGCATTCAACTCACAGAGGTGAACAATCCTGTTGATGGAGCAGTTTTGTAACTCTCTTTCTTTGGATTCTGCAAGTTGATATGTGGACCTCTGTGAAGATTTCGTTGGAAACTGGTTCATCTTCACAGAAAAACTAAACAGAAGCATTCTCAGAAACTGCTTTGTGATGTTTGTGTTCCACTTCAAGAATTGAACTTTCCTCTTGACAGAGCAGCTCTGAAACCCTCTTTTTCTAGAATCTGCCAGTGGACATTTGGAGGGCTTTGGGGCCTGTGGTGGAAAAGGAAAATCTTCACATAAAAACTAGATGGAAGCATTCTCAGAAACTACTTTGTGATGATTGCATTCGACCCACAGAGTTGAACATTCGTACAGATAGAGTACGTTGTAAACAATCTTTTTGTAGAATCTGCGATTGGAGATTTGGACTGCTTTGAGGCCTACTGTAGTAAAGGAAATAACTTCATCTAAAAACCAAACGGAAGCATTCACAGACAATTCTTAGTGATCATTGGATTGAACTAACAGATCTGAACATTCCTTTAGATGGAGCAGTTTCCAAACCCACTTTCTGAAGAATCTGCAAGTGGATATTTGGACTTCTCTGAGGATTTCGTTGGAAACGGGATAAACTTCCCAGAACTACACGGAAGTATTCTGACAAACTTCTTTGGGATGTTTGCATTCAACTCACAGAGTTGAACCTTGCTTTCATAGTTCAGCTTTCAAACACTCTTTTTGTAGAATCTGCAAGTGGATATTTGGACCACTTTGTGGCCTTCCTTCGAAACGGGTATATCTTCACATCAAACCTAGACAGAAGCATTCTCAGAATGTTTCCTGTGATGACTGCATTCAACTCACAGAGGTGAACAATCCTGCTGATGGAGCAGTTTTGAAACTCTCTTTCTTTGGATTCTGCAAGTGGATATGTGGACCTCTGTGAAGATTTCGTTGGAAACGGGTTCATCTTCACAGAAAAACTAAACAGAAGCATTCTCAGAAACTGCTTTGTGATGTTTGTGTTCCACTTCAGGAATTGAACTTTCCTCTTGACAGAGCAGCTCTAAAACCCTCTTATTCTAGAATCTGCAAGTGGACATTTGGAGGGCTTTGAGGCCTGTGGTGGAAAAGGAAAATCTTCACATAAAAACTAGATGGAAGCATTCTCAGAAACTACTTTGTGATGATGGCTTTCGACTCACAGAGTTGAACATTCCTATAGATAGAGCAGGTTGTAAACAATCTTTTTGTAGAATCTGCGATTGGAGATTTGGACTGCTTTGAGGCCTACTGTAGTAAAGGAAATAACTTCATCTAAAAACCAAACGGAAGCATTCACAGACAATTCTTAGTGATCATTGCATTCAACTAACAGAGCTGAACATTCCTTTAGATGGAGCAGTTTCCAAACACACTTTCTGTAGAATCTGCAAGTGGATATTTGGACTTCTCTTAGGATTTCGTTGGAAACGGGATAAACTTCCCAGAACTACACGGAAGCATTCTGAGAAACTTCTTTGTGATGTTTGCATTCAACTCACAGAGTTGAACCTTGCTTTCATAGTTCAGCTTTCAAACACTCTTTTTGTAGAATCTGCAAGTGGATATTTGGACCACTTTGTGGCCTTCCTTCGAAACGGGTATATCTTCACATCAAACCTAGACAGAAGCATTCTCAGAATGTTTGCCTGTGATGACTGCATTCAACTCACAGAGGTGAACAATCCTGTTGATGGAGCAGTTTTGAAACTCTCTTTCTTTGGATTCTGCAAGTTGATATGTGGACCTCTGTGAAGATTTCGTTGGAAACGGGTTCATCTTCACAGAAAAACTAAACAGAAGCATTCTCAGAAACTACTTTGTGATGTTTGTGTTCCACTTCAAGAATTGAACTTTCCTCTTGACAGAGCAGCTCTGAAACCCTCTTTTTCTAGAATCTGCAAGTGGACATTTGGAGGGCTTTGAGGCCTGTGGTGGAAAAGGAAAATCTTCACATAAAAACTAGATGGAAGCATTCTCAGCAAACTACTTTGTGATGATTGCATTCGACTCACAGCAGTTGAACATTCCTATAGATAGAGCAGGTTGTAAACAATGTTTTTGTAGAATCTGCGATTGGAGATTTGGATTGCTTTGAGGCCTACTGTAGTAAAGGAAATAACTTCATCTAAAAACCAAACGGAAGCATTCACAGTACAATTCTTAGTGATCATTGGATTGAACTAACAGAGCTGAACATTCCTTTAGATGGAGCAGTTTCCAAACCCACTTTCTGTAGAATCTGCAAGTGGATATTTGGACCTCTCTGAGGATTTCGTTGGAAACGGGATATACTTCCCAGAACTACACGGAAAGCATTCTGAGAAACTTCTTTGTGATGTTTGCATTCAACTCACAGGATTTGCACCTTGCTTTCATAGTTCAGCTTTCAAACACTCTTTTTGTAGAATCTGCAAGTGGATATTTGGACCACTTTGTGGCCTTCCTTCGAAAAGGGTATATCTTCACATCAAACCTAGACAGAAGCATTCTCAGAATGTTTCCTGTGATGACTGCATTCAACTCACAGAGGTGAACAATCCTGTTGATGGAGTAGTTTTGAAACTCTCTTTCTTTGGATTCTGCAAGTGGATATGTGGACCTCTGTGAAGATTTCGTTGGAAACGGGTTCATCTTCACAGAAAAACTAAACAGAAGCATTCTCAGAAACTGCTTTGTGATGTTTGTGTTCCACTTCAGGAATTGAACTTTCCTCTTGACAGAGCAGCTCTGAAACCCTCTTCTTCTAGAATCTGCAACTGGACATTTGGAGGGCTTTGATGCCTGTGGTGGAAAAGGAAAATCTTCACATAAAAACTAGATGGAAGCATTCTCAGAAACTACTTTGTGATGATTGCATTCGACTCACAGAGTTGAACATTCCTATAGATAGAGCAGGTTGTAAACAATCTTTTTGTAGAATCTGCGATTGGAGATTTGGACTGCTTTGAGGCCTACTGTAGTAAAGGAAATAACGTCATCTAAAAACCAAACGGAAGCATTCACAGACAATTCTTAGTGATCATTGGATTGAACTAACAGAGCTGAACATTCCTTTAGATGGAGCAGTTTCCAAACACACTTTCTGTAGAATCTGCAAGTGGATATTTGGACTTCTCTGAGGATTTCGTTGGAAACGGGATAAACTTCCCAGAACTACACGGAAGCATTGTGAGAAACTTCTTTGTGATGTTTGCATTCAACTCACAGAGTTGAACCTTGCTTTCATAGTTCAGCTTTCAAACACTCTTTTTGTAGAATCTGCAAGTGGATATTTGGACCACTTTGTGGCCTTCCTTCGAAACGGGTATATCTTCACATCAAACATAGACAGAAGCATTCTCAGAATGTTTCCTGTGATGACTGCATTCAACTCACAGAGGTGAACAATCCTGCTGATGGAGCAGTTTTGAAACTCTCTTTCTTTGGATTCTGCAAGTGGATATGTGGACCTCTGTGAAGATTTCGTTGGAAACGGGTTCATCTTCACAGAAAAACTAAACAGGAGCATTCTCAGAAACTGCTTTGTGATGTTTGTGTTCCACTTCAGGAATTGAACTTTCCTCTTGAAAGAGCAGCTCTGAAACCCTCTTTTTCTAGAATCTGCAAGTGGACATTTGGAGGGCTTTGAGGCCTGTGGTGGAAAAGGAAAATCTTCACATAAAAACTAGATGGAAGCATTCTCAGAAACTACTTTGTGATGATTGCATTCGACTCACAGAGTTGAACATTCCTATAGATAGAGCAGGTTGTAAACAATCTTTTTGTAGAATCTGCGATTGGAGATTTGGACTGCTTTGAGGCCTACTGTAGTAAAGGAAATAACTTCATCTAAAAACCAAACGGAAGCATTCACAGACAATTCTTAGTGATCATTGGATTGAACTAACAGAGCTGAACATTCCTTTAGATGGCGCAGTTTCCAAACACACTTTCTGTAGAATCTGCAAGTGGATATTTGGACCTCTCTGAGGATTTCGTTGGAAACGGGCTAAACTTCCCAGAACTACACGGAAGCATTCTGAGAAACTTCTTTGTGATGTTTGCATTCAACTCACAGAGTTGAACCTTGCTTTCATAGTTCAGCTTTCAAACACTCTTTTTGTAGAATCTGCAAGTGGATATTTGGACCACTTTGTGGCCTTCCTTCGAAACGGGTATATCTTCACATCAAACCTAGACAGAAGCATTCTCAGAATGTTTCCTGTGATGACTGCATTCAACTCACAGAGGTGAACAATCCTGTTGATGGAGCACTTTTGAAACTCTCTTTCTTTGGATTCTGCAAGTTGATATGTGGACCTCTGTGAAGATTTCGTTGGAAACGGGTTCATCTTCACAGAAAAACTAAACAGAAGCATTCTCAGAAACTGCTTTGTGATGGTTGTGTTCCACTTCAAGAATTGAACTTTCCTCTTGACAGAGCAGCTCTGAAACCCTCTTTTTCTAGAATC
Organism: Homo sapiens; assembly: GCF_000001405.40. Classification (NCBI taxonomy): domain Eukaryota; kingdom Metazoa; phylum Chordata; class Mammalia; order Primates; family Hominidae; genus Homo; species Homo sapiens. The sequence continues at coordinate 53,384,573 of NC_000011.10, forward strand.
TGCAAGTGGACATTTGGAGGGCTTTGAGGCCTGTGGTGGAAAAGGAAAATCTTCACATAAAAACTAGATGGAAGCATTCTCAGAAACTACTTTGTGATGATTGCATTCGACTCACAGAGTTGAACATTCCTATAGATAGAGCAGGTTGTAAACAATCTTTTTGTAGAATCTGCGATTGGAGATTTGGACTGCTTTGAGGCCTACTGTAGTAAAGGAAATAACTTCATCTAAAAACCAAACGGAAGCATTCACAGAGAATTCTTAGTGATCATTGGATTGAACTAACAGAGCTGAACATTCCTTTAGATGGAGCAGTTTCCAAACACACTTTCTGTAGATTCTGCAAGTGGATATTTGGACCTCTCTGAGGATTTCGTTGGAAAAGGGATAAACTTCCCAGAACTACACGGAAGCATTCTGAGAAACTTCTTTGTGATGTTTGCATTCAACTCACAGAGTTGAACCTTGCTTTCATAGTTCAGCTTTCAAACACTCTTTTTGTAGAATCTGCAAGTGGATATTTGGACCACTTTCTGGCCTTCCTTCGAAACGGGTATATCTTCACATCAAACCTAGACAGAAGCATTCTCAGAATGTTTCCTGTGATGACTGCATTCAACTCACAGAGGTGAACAATCCTGCTGATGGAGCAGTTTTGAAACTCTCTTTCTTTGGATTCTGCAAGTGGATATGTGGACCTCTGTGAAGATTTCGTTGGAAACGGGTTCATCTTCACAGAAAAACTAAACAGGAGCATTCTCAGAAACTGCTTTGTGATGTTTGTGTTCCACTTCAGGAATTGAACTTTCCTCTTGACAGAGCAGCTCTAAAACCCTCTTATTCTAGAATCTGCAAGTGGACATTTGGAGGGCTTTGAGGCCTGTGGTGGAAAAGGAAAATCTTCACATAAAAACTAGATGGAAGCATTCTCAGAAACTACTTTGTGATGATTGCATTCGACTCACAGAGTTGAACATTCCTATAGATAGAGCAGGTTGTAAACAATCTTTTTGTAGAATCTGCGATTGGAGATTTGGACTGCTTTGAGGCCTACTGTAGTAAAGGAAATAACTTCATCTAAAAACCAAACGGAAGCATTCACAGACAATTCTTAGTGATCATTGGATTGAACCAACAGAGCTGAACATTCCTTTAGATGGAGCAGTTTCCAAACACACTTTCTGTAGAATCTGCAAGTGGATATTTGGACCTTTCTGAGGATTTCGTTGGAAACGGGCTAAATTTCCCAGAACTACACGGAAGCATGCTGAGAAACTTCTTTGTGATGTTTGCATTCAACTCACAGAGTTGAACCTTGCTTTCATAGTTCAGCTTTCAAACACTCTTTTTGTAGAATCTGCAAGTGGATATTTGGACCACTTTGTGGCCTTCCTTCGAAACGGGTATATCTTCACATCAAACCTAGACAGAAGCATTCTCAGAATTTTTCCTGTGATGACTGCATTCAACTCACAGAGGTGAACAATCCTGCTGATGGAGCAGTTTTGAAACTCTCTTTCTTTGGATTCTGCAAGTGGATATGTGGACCTCTGTGAAGATTTCGTTGGAAACGGGTTCATCTTCACAGAAAAACTAAACAGAAGCATTCTCAGAAACTGCTTTGTGATGTTTGTGTTCCACTTCAGGAACTGAACTTTCCTCTTGATAGAGCAGCTCTGAAACCCTCTTTTTCTAGAATCTGCAAGTGGACATTTGGAGGGCTTTGAGGTCTGTGGTGGAAAAGGAAAATCTTCACATAAAAACTAGATGGAAGCATTCTCAGAAACTACTATGTGATGATTGCATTCGACTCACAGAGTTGAACATTCCTATAGATAGAGCAGGTTGTAAACAATCTTTTTGTAGAATCTGCGATTGGAGATTTGGACTGCTTTGAGGCCTACTGTAGTAAAGGAAATAACTTCATCTAAAAACCAAACGGAAGCATTCACAGACAATTCTTAGTGATCATTGGATTGAACTAACAGCAGCTGAACATTCCTTTAGATGGCGCAGTTTCCAAACACACTTTCTGTAGAATCTGCAAGTGGATATTTGGACCTCTCTGAGGATTTCGTTGGAAACGGGATAAACTTCCCAGAACTACACGGAAGCATTCTGAGAAACTTCTTTGTGATGTTTGCATTCAACTCACAGAGTTGAACCTTGCTTTCATAGTTCAGCTTTCAAACACTCTTTTTGTAGAATCTGCAAGTGGATATTTGGACCACTTTGTGGCCTTCCTTCGAAACGGGTATATCTTCACATCAAACCTAGACAGAAGCATTCTCGGAATGTTACCTGTGATGACTGCATTCAACTCACAGAGGTGAACAATCCTGCTGATGGAGCAGTTTTGAAACTCTCTTTCTTTGGATTCTGCAAGTAGATATGTGGACCTCTGTGAAGATTTCGTTGGAAACGGGTTCATCTACACAGAAAAACTAAACAGGAGCATTCTCAGAAACTGCTTTGTGATGTTTGTGTTCCACTTCAGGAATTGAACTTTCCTCTTGACAGAGCAGCTCTGAACCCCTCTTTTTCTAGAATCTGCAGGTGGACATTTGGAGGGCTTTGAGGCCTGTGGTGGAAAAAAAAATCTTCACATAAAAACTAGATGGAAGCATTCTCAGAAACTACTTTGTGATGATTGCATTCGACTCACAGAGTTGAACATTCCTATACATAGAGCAGGTTGTAAACAATCTTTTTGTAGAATCTGCGATTGGAGATTTGGACTGCTTTGAGGCCTACTGTAGTAAAGGAAATAACTTCATCTAAAAACCAAACGGAAGCATTCACAGACCATTCTTAGTGATCATTGGATTCAACTAATAGAGCTGAACATTCCCTTAGATGGCGCAGTTTCCAAACACACTTTCTGTAGAATCTGCAAGTGGATATTTGGACCTCTCTGAGGATTTCGTTGGAAACGGGATAAACTTCCCAGAACTACACGGAAGCATTCTGAGAAACTTCTTTGTGATGTTTGCATTCAACTCACAGAGTTGAACCTTGCTTTCATAGTTCAGCTTTCAAACACTCTTTTTGTAGAATCTGCAAGTGGATATTTGGACCACTTTGTGGCCTTCCTTCGAAACGGGTATATCTTCACATCAAACCTAGACAGAAGCATTCTCAGAATGTTTCCTGTGATGACTGCATTCAACTCACAGAGGTGAACAATCCTGCTGATGGAGCAGTTTTGAAACTCTCTTTCTTTGGATTCTGCAAGTGGATATGTGGACCTCTGTGAAGATTTCGTTGGAAACGGGTTCATCTTCACAGAAAAACTAAACAGAAACATTCTCAGAAACTGCTTTGTGAAGTTTGTGTTCCACTTCAGGAATTGAACTTTCCTCTTGACAGAGCAGCTCTGAAACCCTCTTATTCTAGAATCTGCAAGTGGACATTTGGAGGGCTTTGAGGCCTGTGGTGGAAAAGGAAAATCTTCACATAAAAACTAGATGGAAGCATTCTCAGAAACTACTTTGTGATGATTGCATTCGACTCACAGAGTTGAACATTCCTATAGATAGAGCAGGTTGTAAACAATCTTTTTGTAGAATCTGCGATTGGAGATTTGGACTGCTTTGAGGCCTACTGTAGTAAAGGAAATAACTTCATCTAAAAACCAAACGGAAGCATTCACAGACAATTCTTAGTGATCATTGCATTGAACTAACAGAGCTGAACATTCCTTTAGATGGCGCAGTTTCCAAACACACTTTCTGTAGAATCTGCAAGTGGATATTTGGACTTCTCTGAGGATTTCGTTGGAAACGGGATAAACTTCCCAGAACTACACGGAAGCATGCTGAGAAACTTCTTTGTGATGTTTGCATTCAACTCACAGAGTTGAACCTTGCTTTCATAGTTCAGCTTTCAAACACTCTTTTTGTAGAATCTGCAAGTGGATATTTGGACCACTTTGTGGCCTTCCTTCGAAACGGGTATATCTTCACATCAAACCTAGACAGAAGCATTCTCAGAATGTTTCCTGTGATGACTGCATTCAACTCACAGAGGTGAACAATCCTGCTGATGGAGCAGTTTTGAAACTCTCTTTCTTTGGATTCTGCAAGTGGATATGTGGACCTCTGTGAAGATTTCGTTGGAAACGGGTTCATCTTCACAGAAAAACTAAACAGGAGCATTCTCAGAAACTGCTTTGTGATGTTTGTGTTCCACTTCAAGAATTGAACTTTCCTCTTGACAGAGCAGCTCTGAAACCCTCTTTTTCTAGAATCTGCAAGTGGACATTTGGAGGGCTTTGAGGCCTGTGGTGGAAAAGGAAAATCTTCCCATAAAAACTAGATGGAAGCATTCTCAGAAACTACTTTGTGATGATTGCATTCGACTCACAGAGTTGAACATTCCTATAGATAGAGCAGGTTGTAAACAATCTTTTTGTAGAATCTGCGATTGGAGATTTGGACTGCTTTGAGGCCTACTGTAGTAAAGGAAATAACTTCATCTAAAAACCAAACGGAAGCATTCACAGACAATTCTTAGTGATCATTGGATTGAACTAACAGAGCTGAACATTCCTTTAGATGGAGCAGTTTCCAAACCCACTTTCTGTAGAATCTGCAAGTGGATATTTGGACCTCTCTGAGTATTTCGTTGGAAACGGGATAAACTTCCCAGAACTACACGGAAGCATTCTGAGAAACTTCTTTGTGATGTTTGCATTCAACTCACAGAGTTGAACCTTGCTTTCATAGGTCAGCTTTCAAACACTCTTTTTGTAGAATCTGCAAGTGGATATTTGGACCACTTTGTGGCCTTCCTTCGAAACGGGTATATCTTCACATCAAACCTAGACAGAAGCATTCTCAGAATGTTTCCTGTGATGAGTGCATTCAACTCACAGAGGTGAACAATCCTGTTGATGGAGCAGTTTTGAAACTCTCTTTCTTTGGATTCTGCAAGTTGATATGTGGACCTCTGTGAAGATTTCGTTGGAAACGGGTTCATCTTCACAGAAAAACTAAACAGAAGCATTCTCAGAAACTGCTTTGTGATGTTTGTGTTCCACTTCAAGAATTGAACTTTCCTCTTGACAGAGCAGCTCTGAAACCCTCTTTTTCTAGAATCTGCAAGTGGACATTTGGAGGGCTTTGAGGCCTGTGGTGGAAAAGGAAAATCTTCCCATAAAAACTAGATGGAAGCATTCTCAGAAACTACTTTGTGATGATTGCATTCGACTCACCGAGTTGAACATTCCTATAGATAGAGAAGGTTGTTAACAATCTTTTTGTAGAATCTGCGATTGGAGATTTGGACTGCTTTGAGGCCTACTGTAGTAAAGGAAATAACTTCATCTAAAAACCAAACGGAAGCATTCACAGACAATTCTTAGTGATCATTGGATTGAACTAACAGAGCTGAAAATTCCTTTAGATGGAGCAGTTTCCAAACACACTTTCTGTAGAATCTGCAAGTGGATATTTGGACTTATCTGAGGATTTCGTTTGATAAGGGATAAACTTCCCAGAACTACAGGGAAGCATTCTGAGAAACTTCTTTGTGATGTTTGCATTCAACTCACAGAGTTGAACCTTGCTTTCATAGTTCAGCTTTCAAACACTCTTTTTGTAGAATCTGCAAGTGGATATTTGGACCACTTTGTGGCCTTCCTTCGAAACGGGTATATCTTCACATCAAACCTAGACAGAAGCATTCTCAGAATGTTTCCTGTGATGACTGCATTCAACTCACAGAGGTGAACAATCCTGCTGTTGGAGCAGTTTTGAAACTCTCTTTCTTTGGATTCTGCAAGTGGATATGTGGACCTCTGTGAAGATTTCGTTGGAAACGGGTTCATCTTCACAGAAAAACTAAACAGGAGCATTCTCAGAAACTGCTTTGTGATGTTTGTGTTCCACTTCAGGAATTGAACTTTCCTCTTGACAGAGCAGCTCTGAAACCCTCTTATTCTAGAATCTGCAAGTGGACATTTGGAGGGCTTTGAGGCCTGTGGTGGAAAAGGAAAATCTTCACATAAAAACTAGATGGAAGCATTCTCAGAAACTACTTTGTGATGATTGCATTCGACTCACAGAGTTGAACATTCCTATAGATAGAGCAGGTTGTAAACAATCTTTTTGTAGAATCTGCGATTGGAGATTTGGACTGCTTTGAGGCCTACTGTAGTAAAGGAAATAACTTCATCTAAAAACCAAACGGAAGCATTCACAGACAATCCTTAGTGATCATTGCATTGAACTAACAGAGCTGAACATTCCTTTAGATGGCGCAGTTTCCAAACACACTTTCTGTAGAATCTGCAAGTGGATATTTGGACCTCTCTGAGGATTTCGTTGGAAACGGGATAAACTTCCCAGAACTACACGGAAGCATTCTGAGAAACTTCTTTGTGATGTTTGCATTCAACTCACAGAGTTGAACCTTGCTTTCATAGTTCAGCTTTCAAACACTCTTTTTGTAGAATCTGCAAGTGGATATTTGGACCACTTTGTGGCCTTCCTTCGAAACGGGTATATCTTCACATCAAACCTAGACAGAAGCATTCTCAGAATGTTTCCTGTGATGACTGCATTCAACTCACAGAGGTGAACAATCCTGCTGATGGAGCAGTTTTGAAACTCTCTTTCTTTGGATTCTGCAAGTGGATATGTGGACCTCTGTGAAGATTTCGTTGGAAACGGGTTCATCTTCACAGAAAAACGAAACAGGAGCATTCTCAGAAACTGCTTTGTGATGTTTGTGTTCCACTTCAGGAACTGAACTTTCCTCTTGACAGAACAGCTCTGAAACCCTCTTTTTCTAGAATCTGCAAGTGGACATTTGGAGGGCTTTGAAGCCTGTGGTGGAAAAGGAAAATCTTCACATAAAAACTAGATGGAAGCATTCTCAGAAACTACTTTGTGATGATTGCATTCGACTCACAGAGTTGAACATTCCTATAGATAGAGCAGGTTGTAAACAATCTTTTTGTAGAATCTGCGATTGGAGATTTGGACTGCTTTGAGGCCTACTGTAGTAAAGGAAATAACTTCATCTAAAAACGAAACGGAAGCATTCACAGACAATTCTTAGTGATCATTGCATTGAACTAACAGAGCTGAACATTGCTTTAGATGGCGCAGTTTCCAAACACACTTTCTGTAGAATCTGCAAGTGGATATTTGGACCTCTCTGAGAATTTCGTTGGAAACGGGATAAACTTCCCAGAACTACACGGAAGCATGCTGAGAAACTTCTTTGTGATGTTTGCATTCAACTCACAGAGTTGAACCTTGCTTTCATAGTTCAGCTTTCAAACACTCTTTTTGTAGAATCTGCAAGTGGATATTTGGACCACTTTGTGGCCTTCCTTCGAAACGGGTATATCTTCACATCAAACCTAGACAGAAGCATTCTCAGAATGTTTCCTGTGATGACTGCATTCAACTCACAGAGGTGAACAATCCTGCTGATGGAGCAGTTTTGAAACTCTCTTTCTTTGGATTCTGCAAGTGGATATGTGAACCTCTTTGAAGATTTCGTTGGAAACGGGTTCATCTTCACAGAAAAACTAAACAGGAGCATTCTCAGAAATGCTTTGTGATGTTTGTGTTCCACTTCAGGAATTGAACATTCCTCTTGACAGAGCAGCTCTGAAACCCTCTTTTTCTAGAATCTGCAAGTGGACATTTGGAGGGCTTTGAGGCCTGTGGTGGAAAAGGAAAATCTTCACATAAAAACTAGATGGAAGCATTCTCAGAAACTACTTTGTGATGATTGCATTGGACTCACAGAGTTGAACATTCCTATAGATAGAGCAGGTTGTAAACAATCTTTTTGTAGAATCTGCGATTGGAGATTTGGACTGCTTTGAGGCCTACTGTAGTAAAGGAAATAACTTCATCTAAAAACCAAATGGAAGCATTCACAGACAATTCTTAGTGATCATTGGATTGAACTAACATTGCTGAACATTCCTTTAGATGGCGCAGTTTCCAAACACACTTTCTGTAGAATCTGCAAGTGGATATTTGGACCTCTCTGAGGATTTCGTTGGAAACGGGATAAACTTCCCAGAACTACACGGAAGTATTCTGAGAAACTTCTTTGTGATGTTTGCATTCAACTCACAGAGTTGAACCTTGCTTTCATAGTTCAGCTTTCAAACACTCTTTTTGTAGAATCTGCAAGTGGATATTTGGACCACTTTGTGGCCTTCCTTCGAAACGGGTATATCTTCACATCAAACCTAGACAGAAGCATTCTCAGAATGTTTCCTGTGATGACTGCATTCAACTCACAGAGGTGAACAATCCTGCTGATGGAGCAGTTTTGAAACTCTCTTTCTTTGGATTCTGCAAGTGGATATGTGGACCTCTGTGAAGATTTCGTTGGAAACGGGTTCATCTTCACAGAAAAACTAAACAGAAGCATTCTCAGAAACTGCTTTGTGTTGTTTGTGTTCCACTTCAAGAATTGAACTTTCCTCTTGACAGAGCAGCTCTGAAACCCTCTTTTTCTAGAGTCTGCAAGTGGACATTTGGAGGGCTTTGAGGCCTGTGGTGGAAAAGGAAAATCTTCACATAAAAACTAGATGGAAGCATTCTCAGAAACTACTTTGTGATGATGGCTTTCGACTCACAGAGTTGAACATTCCTATAGATAGAGCAGGTTGTAAACAATCTTTTTGTAGAATCTGCGATTGGAGATTTGGACTGCTTTGAGGCCTACTGTAGTAAAGGAAATAACTTCATCTAAAAACCAAACGGAAGCATTCACAGACAATTCTTAGTGATCATTGGATTGAACTAACAGAGCTGAACATTCCTTTAGATGGAGCAGTTTCCAAACACACTTTCTGTAGAATCTGCAAGTGGATATTTGGACTTCTCTGAGGATTTCGTTGGAAACGGGATAAACTTCCCAGAACTACAGGGAAGCATTCTGAGAAACTTCTTTGTGATGTTTGCATTCAACTCACAGAGTTGAACCTTGTTTTCATAGTTCAGCTTTCAAACACTCTTTTTGTAGAATCTGCAAGTGGATATTTGGACCACTTTGTGGCCTTCCTTCGAAACGGGTATATCTTCACATCACACCTAGACAGAAGCATTCTCAGAATGTTTCCTGTGATGACTGCATTCAACTCACAGAGGTGAACAATCCTGTTGATGGAGCACTTTTGAAACTCTCTTTCTTTGGATTCTGCAAGTTGATATGTGGACCTCTGTGAAGATTTCGTTGGAAACGGGTTCATCTTCACAGAAAAACTAAACAGAAGCATTCTCAGAAACTGCTTTGTGATGTTTGTGTTCCACTTCAAGAATTGAACTTTCCTCTTGACAGAGCAGCTCTGAAACCCTCTTTTTCTAGAATCTGCAAGTGGACATTTGGAGGGCTTTGAGGCCTGTGGTGGAAAAGGAAAATCTTCACATAAAAACTAGATGGAAGCATTCTCAGAAACTACTTTGTGATGATTGCATTCGACTCACAGAGTTGAACATTCCTATAGATAGAGCAGGTTGTAAACAATCTTTTTGTAGAATCTGCGATTGGAGATTTGGACTGCTTTGAGGCCTACTGTAGTAAAGGAAATAACTTCATCTAAAAACCAAACGGAAGCATTCACAGACAATTCTTAGTGATCATTGCATTGAACTAACAGAGCTGAACATTCCTTTAGATGGCGCAGTTTCCAAACACACTTTCTGTAGAATCTGCAAGTGGATATTTGGACCTCTCTGAGGATTTCGTTGGAAACGGGATAAACTTCCCAGAACTACACGGAAGCATTCTGAGAAACTTCTTTGTGATGTTTGCATTCAACTCACAGAGTTGAACCTTGCTTTCATAGTTCAGCTTTCAAACACTCTTTTTGTAGAATCTGCAAGAGGATATTTGGACCACTTTGTGGCCTTCCTTCGAAACGGGTATATCTTCACATCAAACCTAGACAGAAGCATTCTCAGAATGTTTCCTGTGATGACTGCATTCAACTCACAGAGGTGAACAATCCTGCTGATGGAGCAGTTTTGAAACTCTCTTTCTTTGGATTCTGCAAGTGGATATGTGGACCTCTGTGAAGATTTCGTTGGAAACGGGTTCATCTTCACAGAAAAACTAAACAGGAGCATTCTCAGAAACTGCTTTGTGATGTTTGTGTTCCACTTCAAGAATTGAACTTTCCTCTTGACAGAGCAGCTCTGAAACCCTCTTTTTCTAGAATCTGCAAGTGGACATTTGGAGGGCTTTGAGGCCTGTGGTGGAAAAGGAAAATCTTCCCATAAAAACTAGATGGAAGCATTCTCAGAAACTACTTTGTGATGATTGCATTCGACTCACAGAGTTGAACATTCCTATAGATAGAGCAGGTTGTAAACAATCTTTTTGTAGAATCTGCGATTGGAGATTTGGACTGCTTTGAGGCCTACTGTAGTAAAGGAAATAACTTCATCTAAAAACCAAACGGAAGCATTCACAGCACAATTCTTAGTGATCATTGCATTGAACTAACAGAGCTGAACATTCCTTTAGATGGAGCAGTTTCCAAACACACTTTCTGTAGAATCTGCAAGTGGATATTTGGACCTCTCTGAGGATTTCGTTGGAAACGGGATAAACTTCCCAGAACTACACGGAAGCATTGTGAGAAACTTCTTTGTGATGTTTGCATTCAACTCACAGAGTTGAACCTTGCTTTCATAGTTCAGCTTTCAAACACTCTTTTTGTAGAATCTGCAAGTGGATATTTGGACCACTTTGTGGCCTTCCTTCGAAACGGGTATATCTTCACATCAAACCTAGACAGAAGCATTCTCAGAATGTTTCCTGTGATGACTGCATTCAACTCACAGAGGTGAACAATCCTGCTGTTGGAGCAGTTTTGAAACTCTCTTTCTTTGGATTCTGCAAGTGGATATGTGGACCTCTGTGAAGATTTCGTTGGAAACGGGTTCATCTTCACAGAAAAACTAAACAGGAGCATTCTCAGAAACTGCTTTGTGATGTTTGTGTTCCACTTCAGGAATTGAACTTTCCTCTTGAGAGAGCAGCTCTGAAACCCTCTTTTTCTAGAATCTGCATGTGGACATTTGGAGGGATTTGAGGCCTGTGGTGGAAAAGGAAAATCTTCACATAAAAACTAGATGGAAGCATTCTCAGAAACTACTTTGTGATGATTGCATTCGACTCACAGAGTTGAACATTCCTATACATAGAGCAGGTTGTAAACAATCTTTTTGTAGAATCTGCGATTGGAGATTTGGACTGCTTTGAGGCCTACTGTAGTAAAGGAAATAACTTCATCTAAAAACCAAACGGAAGCATTCACAGAAAATTCTTAGTGATCATTGGATTGAACTAACAGAGCTGAACATTCCTTTAGATGGCACAGTTTCCCAACACACTTTCTGTAGAATCTGCAAGTGGATATTTGGACCTCTCTGAGGATTTCGTTGGAAACGGGCTAAACTTCCCAGAACTACATGGAAGCATTCTGAGAAACTTCTTTGTGATGTTTGCATTCAACTCACAGAGTTGAACCTTGCTTTCATGGTTCAGCTTTCAAACACTCTTTTTGTAGAATCTGCAAGTGGATATTTGGACCACTTTGGGGCCTTCCTTCGAAACGGGTATATCTTCACATCAAACCTAGACAGAAGCATTCTCAGAATGTTTCCTGTGATGACTGCATTCAACTCACAGAGGTGAACAATCCTGCTGATGGACCAGTTTTGAAACTCTCTTTCTTTGGATTCTGCAAGTGGATATGTGGACCTCTGTGAAGATTTCGTTGGAAACGGGTTCATCTTCACAGAAAAACTAAACAGGAGCATTCTCAGAAACTACTTTGTGATGTTTGTGTTCCACTTCAAGAATTGAACTTTCCTCTTGACAGAGCAGCTCTGAAACCCTCTTTTTCTAGAATCTGCAAGTGGACATTTGGAGGGCTTTGAGGCCTGTGGTGGAAAAGGAAAATCTTCACATAAAAACTAGATGGAAGCATTCTCAGAAACTACTTTGTGATGATTGCATTCGACTCACAGAGTTGAACATTCCTATAGATAGAGCAGGTTGTAAACAATCTTTTTGTAGAATCTGCGATTGGAGATTTGGACTGCTTTGAGGCCTACTGTAGTAAAGGAAATAACTTCATCTAAAAACCAAACGGAAGCATTCACAGACAATTCTTAGTGATCATTGGATTGAACTAACAGAGCTGAACATTCCTTTAGATGGCACAGTTTCCAAACACACTTTCTGTAGAATCTGCATGTGGATATTTGGACCTCTCTGAGGATTTCGTTGGAAATGTGATAAACTTCCCAGAACTACACGGAAGCATTGTGAGAAACTTCTTTGTGATGTTTGCATTCAACTCACAGAGTTGAACCTTGCTTTCATAGTTCAGCTTTCAAACACTCTTTTTGTAGAATCTGCAAGTGGATATTTGGACCACTTTGTGGCCTTCCTTTGAAAAGGGTATATCTTCACATCAAACCTAGACAGAAGCATTCTCAGAATGTTTCCTGTGATGACTGCATTCAACTCACAGAGGTGAACAATCCTGCTGATGGAGCAGTTTTGAAACTCTCTTTCTTTGGATTCTGCAAGTGGATATGTGGACCTCTGTGAAGATTTCGTTGGAAACGGGTTCATCTTCACAGAAAAACTAAACAGAAGCATTCTCAGAAACTGCTTTGTGATGTTTGTGTTCCACTTCAAGAATTGAAATTTCCTCTTGACAGAGCAGCTCTGAAACCCTCTTTTTCTAGAATCTGCAAGTGGACATTTGGAGGGCTTTGAGGCCTGTGGTGGAAAAGGAAAATCTTCACATAAAAACTAGATGGAAGCATTCTCAGAAACTACTTTGTGATGATGGCATTCGACTCACAGAGTTGAACATTCCTATAGATAGAGCAGGTTGTAAACAATCTTTTTGTAGAATCTGCGATTGGAGATTTGGACTGCTTTGAGGCCTACTGTAGTAAAGGAAATAACTTCATCTAAAAACCAAACGGAAGCATTCACAGACAATTCATAGTGATCATTGCATTGAACTAACAGAGCTGAACATTCCTTTAGATGGAGCAGTTTCCAAACACACTTTCTGTAGAATCTGCAAGTGGATATTTGGACCTCTCTGAGGATTTCGTTGGAAACGGGATAAACTTCCCAGAACTACACGGAAGCATTCTGAGAAACTTCTTTGTGATGTTTGCATTCAACTCACAGAGTTGAACCTTGCTTTCATAGTTCAGCTTTCAAACACTCTTTTTGTAGAATCTGCAAGTGGATATTTGGACCACTTTGTGGCCTTCCTTCGAAACGGGTATATCTTCACATCAAACCTAGACAGAAGCATTCTCAGAATGTTTCCTGTGATGACTGCATTCAACTCACAGAGGTGAACAATCCTGCTGATGGAGAGGTTTTGAAAATCTCTTTCTTTGGATTCTGCAAGTGGATATGTGGACCTCTGTGAAGATTTCGTTGGAAACGGGTTCATCTTCACAGAAAAACTAAACAGGAACATTCTCAGAAACTGCTTTGTGATGTTTGTGTTCCACTTCAAGAATTGAACTTTCCTCTTGACAGAGCAGCTCTGAAACCCTCTTTTTCTAGAATCTGCAAGTGGACATTTGGAGGGCTTTGAGGCCTGTGGTGGAAAAGGAAAATCTTCACATAAAAACTAGATGGAAGCATTCTCAGAAACTACTTTGTGATGATTGCATTCGACTCACAGAGTTGAACATTCCTATAGATAGAGCAGGTTGTAAACAATCTTTTTGTAGAATCTGCGATTGGAGATTTGGACTGCTTTGAGGCCTACTGTAGTAAAGGAAATAACTTCATCTAAAAACCAAACGGAAGCATTCACAGACAATTCTTAGTGATCATTGGATTGAACTAACAGATCTGAACATTCCTTTAGATGGAGCAGTTTCCAAACCCACTTTCTGTAGAATCTCCAAGTGGATATTTGGACCTCTCTGAGGATTTCTTTGGAAACGGGATAAACTTCCCAGAACTACACGGAAGCATTCTGAGAAACTTCTTTGTGATGTTTGCATTCAACTCACAGCAGTTGAACCTTGCTTTCATAGTTCAGCTTTCAAACACTCCTTTTGTAGAATCTGCAAGTGGATATTTGGACCACTTTGTGGCCTTCCTTCGAAACGGGTATATCTTCACATCAAACCTAGACAGAAGCATTCTCAGAATGTTTCCTGTGATGACTGCATTCAACTCACAGAGTTGAACAATCCTGCTGATGGAGCAGTTTTGAAACTCTCTTTCTTTGGATTCTGCAAGTGGATATGTGGACCTCTGTGAAGATTTCGTTGGAAACGGGTTCATCTTCACAGAAAAACTAAACAGAAGCATTCTCAGAAACTGCTTTGTGATGTTTGTGTTCCACTTCAAGAATTGAACTTTCCTCTTGACAGAACAGCTCTGAAACCCTCTTATTCTAGAATCAGCAAGTGGACATTTGGAGGGCTTTGAGGCCTGTGGTGGAAAAGGAAATATCTTCACATAAAACCTAGATAGAAGCATTCTCAGAAACTACTTTGTGATGATTGCATTCGACTCACAGAGTTGAACATTCCTATAGATAGAGCAGGTTGTAAACAATCTTTTTGTAGAATCTGAGATTGAAGATTTGGACTGCTTTGAGGCCTACTGTAGTAAAGGAAATAACTTCATCTAAAAACCAAACGGAAGCATTCACAGACAATTCTTAGTGATCATTGGATTGAACTAACAGAGCTGAACACTCCTTTAGATGGCGCTGTTTCCAAACACACTTTGTGTAGAATCTGCAAGTGGATATTTGGACTTCTCTGAGGATTTCGTTGGAAACGGGATAAACTTCCCAGAACTACACGGAAGTATTCTGAGAAACTTCTTTGTGATGTTTGCATTCAACTCACAGAGTTGAACCTTGCTTTCATAGTTCAGCTTTCAAACACTCTTTTTGTAGAATCTGCAAGTGGATATTTGGACCACTTTGTGGCCTTCCTTCGAAACGGGTATATCTTCACATCAAACCTAGACAGAAGCATTCTCAGAATGTTTCCTGTGATGACTGCATTCAACTCACAGAGGTGAACAATCCTGCTGTTGGAGCAGTTTTGAAACTCTCTTTCTTTGGATTCTGCAAGTGGATATGTGGACCTCTGTGAAGATTTCGTTGGAAACGGGTTCATCTTCACAGAAAAACTAAACAGGAGCATTCTCAGAAACTGCTTTGTGATGTTTGTGTTCCACTTCAGGAATTGAACTTTCCTCTTGACAGAGCAGCTCTGAAACCCTCTTATTCTAGAATCTGCAAGTGGACATTTGGAGGGCTTTGAGGCCTGTGGTGGAAAAGGAAAATCTTCACATAAAAACTAGATGGAAGCATTCTCAGAAACTACTTTGTGATGATTGCATTCGACTCACAGAGTTGAACATTCCTATAGATAGAGCAGGTTGTAAACAATCTTTTTGTAGAATCTGCGATTGGAGATTTGGACTGCTTTGAGGCCTACTGTAGTAAAGGAAATAACTTCATCTAAAAACCAAACGGAAGCATTCACAGACAGTTCTTAGTGATCATTGGATTGAACTAACAGAGCTGAACATTCCTTTAGATGGAGCAGTTTCCAAACACACTTTCTGTAGAATCTGCAAGTGGATATTTGGACCTCTCTGAGGATTTCGTTGGAAACGGGATAAACTTCCCAGAACTACACGAAAGCATTGTGAGAAACTTCTTTGTGATGTTTGCATTCAACTCACAGAGTTGAACCTTGCTTTCATAGTTCAGCTTTCAAACACTCTTTTTGTAGAATCTGCAAGTGGATATTTGGACCACTTTGTGGCCTTCCTTCGAAACGGGTATATCTTCACATCAAACCTAGACAGAAGCATTCTCATAATGTTTCCTGTGATGACTGCATTCAACTCACAGAGGTGAACAATCCTGCTGATGGAGCAGTTTTGAAACTCTCTTTCTTTGGATTCTAGCAAGTGGATATGTGGACCTCTGTGAAGATTTCGTTGGAAACGGGTTCATCTTCACAGAAAAACTTAAACAGAAGCATTCTCAGAAACTGCTTTGTGATGTTTGTGTTCCACTTCAGGAATTGAACTTTCCTCTTGACAGAGCAGCTCTAAAACCCTCTTATTCTAGAATCTGCAAGTGGACATTTGGAGGGCTTTGAGGCCTGTGGTGGAAAAGGAAAATCTTCACATAAAAACTAGATGGAAGCATTCTCAGAAACTACTTTGTGATGATTGCATTCGACTCACAGAGTTGAACATTCCTAAAGATAGAGCAGGTTGTAAACAATCTTTTTGTAGAATCTGAGATTGGAGATTTGGACTGCTTTGAGGCCTACTGTAGTAAAGGAAATAACTTCATCTAAAAACCAAACGGAAGCATTCACAGACAATTCTTAGTGATCATTGGATTGAACTAACAGAGCTGAACATTCCTTTAGATGGAGCATTTTCCAAACACACTTTCTGTAGAATCTGCAAGTGGATATTTGGACCTCTCTGAGGATTTCGTTGGAAACGGGGTAAACTTCCCAGAAATACACGGAAGCATTCTGAGAAACTTCTTTGTGATGTTTGCATTCAACTCACAGAGTTGAACCTTGCTTTCATAGTTCAGCTTTCAAACACTCTTTTTGTAGAATCTGAAAGTGGATATTTGGACCAATTTGTGGCCTTCCTTCGAAACGGGTATATCTTCACATCAAACCTAGACAGAAGCATTCTCGGAATGTTTCCTGTGATGACTGCATTCAACTCACAGAGGTGAACAATCCTGCTGATGGAGCAGTTTTGAAACTCTCTTTCTTTGGATTCTGCAAGTGGATATGTGGACCTCTGTGAAGATTTCGTTGGAAACGGGTTTATCTTCACAGAAAAACTAAACAGGAGCATTCTCAGAAACTGCTTTGTGATGTTTGTGTTCCACTTCAAGAATTGAACTTTCCTCTTGGACAGAGCAGCTCTGAAACCCTCTTTTTCTAGAATTTGCAAGTGGACATTTGGAGGGCTTTGAGGCCTGTGGTGGAAAAGGAAAATCTTCACATAAAAACTAGATGGAAGCATTCTCAGAAACTACTTTGTGATGATTGCATTCGACTCACATAGTTGAACATTCCTATAGATAGAGCAGGTTGTAAACAATCTTTTTGTAGAATCTGCGATTGGAGATTTGGACTGCTTTGAGGCCTACTGTAGTAAAGGAAATAACTTCATCTAAAAACCAAACGGAAGCATTCACAGACAATTCTTAGTGATCATTGGATTGAACTAACAGAGCTGAACTTCCTTTAGATGGCGCAGTTTCCAAACACACTTTCTGTAGAATCTGCAAGTGGATATTTGGACTTCTCTGAGGATTTCGTTGGAAACGGGATAAACTTCCCAGAAGTACACGGAAGCATTGTGAGAAACTTCTTTGTGATGTTTGCATTCAACTCACAGAGTTGAACCTTGCTTTCATAGTTCAGCTTTCAAACACTCTTTTTGTAGAATCTGCAAGTGGATATTTGGACCACTTTGTGGCCTTCCTTCGAAACGGGTATATCTTCACATCAAACCTAGACAGAAGCATTCTCAGAATGTTTCCTGTGATGACTGCATTCAACTCACAGAGGTGAACAATCCTGC
Organism: Homo sapiens; assembly: GCF_000001405.40. Taxonomy (NCBI): domain Eukaryota; kingdom Metazoa; phylum Chordata; class Mammalia; order Primates; family Hominidae; genus Homo; species Homo sapiens. Next base: position 53,402,219 of record NC_000011.10, read on the forward strand.
TGATGGAGCAGTTTTGAAACTCTCTTTCTTTGGATTCTGCAAGTGGATATGTGGACCTCTGTGAAGATTTCGTTGGAAACGGGTTCATGCTTCACGGAAAAACTAAACAGGATCATTCTCAGGAAACTGCTTTGTGATGTTTGTGTTCCACTTCAGGAATTGAACTTTCCTCTTGACAGAGCAGCTCTGAAACCCTCTTTTTCTAGAATCTGCAAGTGGACATTTGGAGGGCTTTGAGGCCTGTGGTGGAAAAGGAAAATCTTCACATAAAAACTAGATGGAAGCATTCTCAGAAACTACTTTGTGATGATTGCATTCGACTCACAGAGTTGAACATTCCTATAGATAGAGCAGGTTGTAAACAATCTTTTTGTAGAATCTGCGATTGGAGATTTGGACTGCTTTGAGTCCTACTGTAGTAAAGGAAATAACTTCATCTAAAAACCAAACGGAAGCATTCACAGACAATTCTTAGTGATCATTGGATTGAACTAACAGAGCTGAACATTCCTTTAGATGGAGCAGTTTCCAAACACACTTTCTGTAGAATCTGCAAGTGGATATTTGGACCTCTCTGAGGATTTCGTTGGAAACGGGCTAAACTTCCCAGAACTACATGGAAGCATTCTGAGAAACTTCTTTGTTATGTTTGCATTCAACTCACAGAGTTGAACCTTGCTTTCATAGTTCAGCTTTCAAACACTCTTTTTGTAGAATCTGCAAGTGGATATTTGGACCACTTTGTTGCCTTCCTTCGAAACGGGTATATCTTCACATCAAACCTAGACAGAAGCATTCTCAGAATGTTTCCTGTGATGACTGCATTCAACTCACAGAGGTGAACAATCCTGCTGATGGAGCAGTTTTGAAACTCTCTTTCTTTGGATTCTGCAAGTGGATATGTGGACCTCTGTGAAGATTTCGTTGGAAACGGGTTCTTCTTCACAGAAAAACTAAACAGAAGCATTCTCAGAAACTGCTTTGTGATGTTTGTGTTCCACTTCAAGAATTGAACTTTCCTCTTGACAGAGCAGCTCTGAAACCCTCTTTTTCTAGAATCTGCAAGTGGACATTTGGAGGGCTTTGAGGCCTGTGGTGGAAAAGGAAAATCTTCACATAAAAACTAGATGGAAGCATTCTCAGAAACTACTTTGGGATGATTGCATTCGACTCACAGAGTTGAACATTCCTATAGATAGAGCAGGTTGTAAACAATCTTTTTGTAGAATCTGCGATTGGAGATTTGGACTGCTTTGAGGCCTACTGTAGTAAAGGAAATAACTTCATCTAAAAACCAAACGGAAGCATTCACAGACAATTCTTAGTGATCATTGGATTGAACTAACAGAGCTGAACATTCCTTTAGATGGAGCAGTTTCCAAACACACTTTCTGTAGAATCTGCAAGTGGATATTTGGACTTCTCTGAGGATTTCGTTGGAAACGGGATAAACTTCCCAGAACTACACGGAAGCATTCTGAGAAACTTCTTTGTGATGTTTGCATTCAACTCACAGAGTTGAACCTTGCTTTTATAGTTCAGCTTTCAAACACTCTTTTTGTAGAATCTGCAAGTGGATATTTGGACCACTTTGTGGCCTTCCTTCGAAACGGGTATATCTTCACATCAAACCTAGACAGAAGCATTCTCAGAATGTTTCCTGTGATGACTGCATTCATCTCACAGAGTTGAACAATCCTGCTGATGGAGCAGTTTTGAAACTCTCTTTCTTTGGATTCTGCAAGTGGATGTGTGGACCTCTGTGAAGATTTCGTTGGAAACGGGTTCATCTTCACAGAAAAACTAAACAGAAGCATTCTCAGAAACTGCTTTGCGATGTTTGTGTTCCACTTCAAGAATTGAACTTTCCTCTTGACAGAGCAGCTCTGAAACCCTCTTTTTCTAGAATCTGCAAGTGGACATTTGGAGGGCTTTGAGGCCTGTGGTGGAAAAGGAAAATCTTCACATAAAAACTAGATGGAAGCATTCTCAGAAACTACTTTGTGATGATTGCATTCGACTCACAGAGTTGAACATTCCTATAGATAGAGCAGGTTGTAAACAATCTTTTTGTAGAATCTGCGATTGGAGATTTGGACTGCTTTGAGGCCTACTGTAGTAAAGGAAATAACTTCATCTAAAAACCAAACGGAAGCATTCACAGACAATTCTTAGTGATCATTGCATTGAACTAACAGAGCTGAACATTCCTTTAGATGGAGCATTTTCCAAACACACTTTCTGTAGAATCTGCAAGTGGATATTTGGACTTCTCTGAGGATTTCGTTGGAAACGGGATAAACTTCCCAGAACTACACGGAAGCATTGTGAGAAACTTCTTTGTGATGTTTGCATTCAACTCACAGAGTTGAACCTTGCTTTCATAGTTCAGCTTTCAAACACTCTTTTTGTAGAATCTGCAAGTGGATATTTGGACCACTTTGTGGCCTTCCTTCGAAACGGGTATATCTTCACATCAAACCTAGACAGAAGCATTCTCAGAATGTTTCCTGTGATGACTGCATTCAACTCACAGAGGTGAACAATCCTGCTGATGGAGCAGTTTTGAAACTCTCCTTCTTTGGATTCTGCAAGTGGATATGTGGACCTCTGTGAAGATTTCGTTGGAAACGGGTTCATCTTCACAGAAAAACTAAACAGAAGCATTCTCAGAAACTGCTTTGTGATGTTTGTGTTCCACTTCAGGAATTGAACTTTCCTCTTGACAGAGCAGCTCTGCAACCCTCTTATTCTAGAATCTGCAAGTGGACATTTGGAGGGCTTTGAGGCCTGTGGTGGAAAAGGAAAATCTTCACATAAAAACTAGATGGAAGCATTCTCAGAAACTACTTTGTGATGATTGCATTCGACTCACAGAGTTGAACATTCCTATAGATAGAGCAGGTTGTAAACAATCTTTTTGTAGAATCTGCGATTGGAGATTTGGACTGCTTTGAGGCCTACTGTAGTAAAGGAAATAACTTCATCTAAAAACCAAACGGAAGCATTCACAGACAATTCTTAGTGATCATTGGATTGAACTAACAGAGCTGAACATTCCTTTAGATGGCGCAGTTTCCAAACACACTTTCTGTAGAATCTGCAAGTGGATATTTGGACCTCTCTGAGGATATCGTTGGAAAAGGGATAAACTTCCCGAAACTACACGGAAGCATTCTGAGAAACTTCTTTGTGATGTTTGCATTCAACTCACAGAGTTGAACCTTGCTTTCATAGTTCAGCTTTCAAACACTCTTTTTGTAGAATCTGCAAGTGGATATTTGGACCACTTTGTGGTCTTCCTTCGAAACGGGTATATCTTCACATCAAACCTAGACAGAAGCATTCTCAGAATGTTTCCTGTGATGACTGCATTCAACTCACAGAGGTGAACAATCCTGCTGATGGAGCAGTTTTGAAACTCTCTTTCTTTGGATTCTGCAAGTGGATATGTGGACCTCTGTGAAGATTTCGTTGGAAACGGGTTCATCTTCACAAAAAAACTAAACAGGAGCATTCTCAGAAACTGCTTTGTGATGTTTGTGTTCCACTTCAGGAATTGAACTTTCCTCTTGACAGAGCAGCTCTGAAACCCTCTTATTCTAGAATCTGCAAGTGGACATTTGGAGGGCTTTGAGGCCTGTGGTGGAAAAGGAAAATCTTCACATAAAAACTAGATGGAAGCATTCTCAGAAACTACTTTGTGATGATTGCATTCGACTCACAGAGTTGAACATTCCTATAGATAGAGCAGGTTGTAAACAATCTTTTTGTAGAATCTGCGATTGGAGATTTCGACTGCTCTGAGGCCTACTGTAGTAAAGGAAATAACTTCATCTAAAAACCAAACGGAAGCATTCACAGACAATTCTTAGTGATCATTGGATTGAACTAACAGAGCTGAACATTCCTTTAGATGGAGCAGTTTCCAAACACACTTTCTGTAGAATCTGCAAGTGGATATTTGGACCTCTCTGAGGATTTCGTTGGAAACGGGATAAACTTCCCAGAACTACACGGAAGCATTGTGAGAAACTTCTTTGTGATGTTTGCATTCAACTCACAGAGTTGAACCTTGCTTTCATAGTTCAGCTTTCAAACACTCTTTTTGTAGAATCTGCAAGTGGATATTTGGACCACTTTGTGGCCTTCCTTCGAAACGGGTATATCTTCACATCAAACCTAGACAGAAGCATTCTCAGAATGTTTCCTGTGATGACTGCATTCAACTCACGGAGGTGAACAATCCTGCTGATGGAGCAGTTTTGAAACTCTCTTTCTTTGGATTCTGCAAGTGGATATGTGGACCTCTGTGCAGATTTCGTTGGAAACGGGTTCATCTTCACAGAAAAACTAAACAGGAGCATTCTCAGAAACTGCTTTGTGATGTTTGTGTTCCACTTCAAGAATTGAACTTTCCTCTTGACAGAGCAGCTCTGAAACCCTCTTTTTCTAGAATCTGCAAGTGGACATTTGGAGGGCTTTGAGGCCTGTGGTGGAAAAGGAAAATCTTCACATAAAAATTAGATGGAAGCATTCTCAGAAACTACTTTGTGATGATTGCATTCGACTCACAGAGTTGAACATTCCTATAGATAGAGCAGGTTGTAAACAATCTTTTTGTAGAATCTGCGATTGGAGATTTGGACTGCTTTGAGGCCTACTGTAGTAAAGGAAATAACTTCATCTAAAAACCAAACGGAAGCATTCACAGACAATTCTTAGTGATCATTGGATTGAACTAACAGAGCTGAACATTCCTTTAGATGGAGCAGTTTCCAAACACACTTTCTGTAGAATCTGCAAGTGGATATTTGGACCTCTCTGAGGATTTCGTTGGAAACGGGATAAACTTCCCAGAACTACACGGAAGCATTGTGAGAAACTTCTTTGTGATGTTTGCATTCAACTCACAGAGTTGAACCTTGCTTTCATAGTTCAGCTTTCAAACACTCCTTTTGTAGAATCTGCAAGTGGATATTTGGACCACTTTGTGGCCTTCCTTGGAAACGGGTATATCTTCACATCAAACCTAGACAGAAGCATTCTCAGAATGTTTCCTGTGATGACTGCATTCAACTCACAGAGGTGAACAATCCTGTTGATGGAGCACTTTTGAAACTCTCTTTCTTTGGATTCTGCAAGTTGATATGTGGACCTCTGTGAAGATTTCGTTGGAAACGGGTTCATCTTCACAGAAAAAGTAAACAGAAGCATTCTCAGAAACTGCTTTGTGATGTTTGTGTTCCACTTCAAGAATTGAACTTTCCTCTTGACAGAGCAGCTCTGAAACCCTCTTTTTCTAGAATCTGCAAGTGGACATTTGGAGGGCTTTGGGGCCTGTGGTGGAAAAGGAAAATCTTCACATAAAAACTAGATGGAAGCATTCTCAGAAACTACTTTGTGATGATTGCATTCGACTCACAGAGTTGAACATTCCTATAGATAGAGCAGGTTGTAAACAATGTTTTTGTAGAATCTGCGATTGGAGATTTGGATTGCTTTGAGGCCTACTGTAGTAAAGGAAATAACTTCATCTAAAAACCAAACGGAAGCATTCACAGACAATTCTTAGTGATCATTGGATTGAACTAACAGAGCTGAACATTCCTTTAGATGGAGCAGTTTCCAAACCCACTTTCTGTAGAATCTGCAAGTGGATATTTGGACTTCTCTGAGGATTTCGTTGGAAACGGGATAAACTTCCCAGAACTACACGGAAGCATTCTGAGAAACTTCTTTGTGATGTTTGCATTCAACTCACAGAGGTGAACCTTGCTTTCACAGTTCAGCTTTCAAACACTCTTTTTGTAGAATCTGCAAGTGGATATTTGGACCACTTTGTGGCCTTCCTTCGAAACGGGTATATCTTCACATCAAACCTAGACAGAAACATTCTCAGAATGTTTCCTGTGATGACTGCATTCAACTCACAGAGGTGAACAATCCTGTTGATGGAGCAGTTTTGAAACTCTCTTTCTTTGGATTCTGCAAGTGGATATGTGGACCTCTGTGAAGGTTTCGTTGGAAACGGGTTCAACTTCACAGAAAAACTAAACAGGAGCATTCTCAGAAACTGCTTTCTGATGTTTGTGTTCCACTTCAGGAATTGAGCTTTCCTCTTGAGAGAGCAGCTCTGAAACCCTCTTTTTCTAGAATCTGCAAGTGGACATTTGGAGGTCTTTGAGGCCTGTGGTGGAAAAGGAAAATCTTCACATAAAAACTAGATGGAAGCATTCTCAGAAACTACTTTGTGATGATTGCATTCGACTCACAGAGTTGAACATTCCTATAGATAGAGCAGGTTGAAAACAATCTTTTTGTAGAATCTGCGATTGGAGATTTGGACTGCTTTGAGGCCTACTGTAGTAAAGGAAATAACTTCATCTAAAAACCAAACGGAAGCATTCACAGACAATTCTTAGTGATCATTGGATTGAACTAACAGAGCTGAACATTCCTTTAGATGGAGCAGATTCCAAACACACTTTCTGTAGAATCTGCAACTGGATATTTGGACCTCTCTGAGGATTTCGTTGGAAACGGGATAAACTTCCCAGAACTACACGGAAGCATTCTGAGAAACTTCTTTGTGATGTTTGCATTCAACTCACAGAGTTGAACCTTGCTTTCATAGTTCAGCTTTCAAACACTCTTTTTGTAGAATCTGCAAGTGGATATTTGGACCACTTTGTGGCCTTCCTTCGAAACGGGTATATCTTCACATCAAACCTAGACAGAAGCATTCTCAGAATGTTTCCTATGATGACTGCATTCAACTCACAGAGGTGAACAATCCTGCTGATGGAGCAGTTTTGAAACTCTCTTTCTTTGGATTCTGCAAGTGGATATCTGGACCTCTGTGAAGATTTCGTTGGAAACGTGTTAATCTTCACAGAAAAACTAAACAGAAGAATTCTCAGAAACTGCTTTGTGATGTTTGTGTTCCACTTCAGGAATTGAACTTTCCTCTTCACAGAGCAGCTCTGAAACCCTCTTTTTCTAGAATCTGCAAGTGGACATTTGGAGGGCTTTGAGGCCTGTGGTGGAAAAGGAAAATCTTCACATAAAAACTAGATGGAAGCATTCTCAGAAACTACTTTGTGATGATGGCTTTCGACTCACAGAGTTGAACATTCCTATAGATAGAGCAGGTTGTAAACAATCTTTTTGTAGAATCTGCGATTGGAGATTTGGACTGCTTTGAGGCCTACTGTAGTAAAGGAAATAACTTCATCTAAAAACCAAACGGAAGCATTCACAGACAATTCTTAGTGATCATTGCATTGAACTAACAGAGCTGAACATTCCTTTAGATGGAGCAGTTTCCAAACACACTTTCTGTAGAATCTGCAAGTGGATATTTGGACTTCTCTGAGGATTTCGTTGGAAAAGGGATAAACTTCCCAGAACTACACGGAAGCATTGTGAGAAACTTCTTTGTGATGTTTGCATTCAACTCACAGAGTTGAACCTTGCTTTCATAGTTCAGCTTTCAAACACTCTTTTTGTAGAATCTGCAAGTGGATATTTGGACCACTTTGTGGCCTTCCTTCGAAACGGGTATATCTTCACATCAAACCTAGACAGAAGCATTCTCAGAATGTTTCCTGTGATAACTGCATTCAACTCACAGAGGTGAACAATCCTGTTGATGGAGCAGTTTTGAAACTCCCTTTCTTTGGATTCTGCAAGTGGATATGTGGAACTCTGTGAAGATTTCGTTGGAAACGGGTTCATCTTCACAGAAAAACTAAACAGGAGCATTCTCAGAAACTGCTTTGTGATGTTTGTGTTCCACTTCAAGAATTGAACTTTCCTCTTGACAGAGCAGCTCTGAAACCCTCTTTTTCTAGAATCTGCAAGTGGACATTTGGAGGGCTTTGAGGCCTGTGGTGGAAAAGGAAAATCTTCCCATAAAAACTAGATGGAAGCATTCTCAGAAACTACTTTGTGATGATTGCATTCGACTCACAGAGTTGAACATTCCTATAGATAGAGCAGGTTGTAAACAATCTTTTTGTAGAATCTGCGATTGGAGATTTGGACTGCTTTGAGGCCTACTGTAGTAAAGGAAATAACTTCATCTAAAAACCAAACGGAAGCATTCACAGACAATTCTTAGTGATCATTGGATTGAACTAACAGAGCTGAACATTCCTTTAGATGGAGCAGTTTCCAAAACCACTTTCTGTAGAATCTGCAAGGGGATATTTGGACTTCTCTGAGGATTTCGTTGGAAACGGGATAAACTTCCCAGAACTACACGGAAGCATTCTGAGAAACTTCTTTGTGATGTTTGCATTCAACTCACAGAGTTGAACCTTGCTTTCATAGTTCAGCTTTCAAACACTCTTTTTGTAGAATCTGCAAGTGGATATTTGGACCACTTTGTGGCCTTCCTTCGAAACGGGTATATCTTCACATCAAACCTAGACAGAAGCATTCTCAGAATGTTTCCTGTGATGACTGCATTCAACTCACAGAGGTGAACAATCCTGTTTATGGAGCACTTTTGAAACTCTCTTTCTTTGGATTCTGCAAGTAGATATGTGGAACTCTGTGAAGATTTCGTTGGAAACGGGTTCATCTTCACAGAAAAACTAAACAGAGAGCATTCTCAGAAACTGCTTTGTGATGTTTGTGTTCCACTTCAAGAATTGAACTTTCCTCTTTACAGAGCAGCTCTGAAACCCTCTTTTTCTAGAATCTGCAAGTGGACATTTGGAGGGCTTTGAGGCCTGTGGTGGAAAAGGAAAATCTTCACATAAAAACTAGATGGAGCATTCTCAGAAACTACTTTGTGATGATTGCATTCGACTCACAGAGTTGAACATTCCTATAGATAGAGCAGGTTGTAAACAATCTTTTTGTAGAATCTGCGATTGGAGATTTGGACTACTTTGAGGCCTACTGTAGTAAAGGAAATAACTTCATCTAAAAACCAAACGGAAGCATTCACAGACAATTCTTAGTGATCATTGCATTGAACTAACAGAGCTCAACATTGCTTTAGATGGCGCAGTTTCCAAACACCCTTTCTGTAGAATCTGCAAGTGGATATTTGGACCTCTCTGAGGATATCGTTGGAAAAGGGATAAACTTCCCAGAACTACACGGAAGCATTCTGAGAAACTTCTTTGTGATGTTTGCATTCAACTCACAGAGTTGAACCTTGCTTTCATAGTTCAGCTTTCAAACACTCTTTTTGTAGAATCTGCAAGTGGATATTTGGACCACTTTGTGGCCTTCCTTCGAAACGGGTATATCTTCACATCAAACCTACACAGAAGCATTCTCAGAATGTTTCCTGTGATGACTGCATTCAACTCACAGAGGTGAACAATCCTGTTGATGGGGCACTTTTGAAACTCTCTTTCTTTGGATTCTGCAAGTTGATATGTGGACCTCTGTGAAGATTTCGTTGGAAACGGGTTCATTTACACAGAAAAACTAAACAGAAGCATTCTCAGAAACTACTTTGTGATGTTTGTGTTCCACTTCAAGAATTGAACTTTCCTCTTGACAGAGCAGCTCTGAAACCCTCTTTTTCTAGAATCTGCAAGTGGACATTTGGAGGGCTTTGAGGCCTGTGGTGGAAAAGGAAAATCTTCACATAAAAACTAGATGGAAGCATTCTCAGAAACTACTTTGTGATGATTGCATTCGACTCACAGAGTTGAATATTCCTATAGATAGAGCAGGTTGTAAACAATCTTTTTGTAGAATCTGCGATTGGAGATTTGGACTGCTTTGAGGCCTACTGTAGTAAAGGAAATAACTTCATCTAAAAACCAAACGGAAGCATTCACAGACAATTCTTAGTGATCATTGGATTGAACTAACAGAGCTGAACATTCCTTTAGATGGAGCAGTTTCCAAACACACTTTCTGTAGAATCTGCAAGTGGATATTTGGACCTCTCTGAGGATTTCGTTGGAAACGGGATAAACTTCCCAGAACTACACGGAAGCATTCTGAGAAACTTCTTTGTGATGTTTGCATTCAACTCACAGAGTTGAACCTTGCTTTCATAGTTCAGCTTTCAAACACTCTTTTTGTAGAATCTGCAAGTGGATATTTGGACCACTTTGTGGCCTTCCTTCGAAACGGGTATATCTTCACATCAAACCTAGACAGAAGCATTCTCAGAATGTTTCCTGTGATGACTGCATTCAACTCACAGAGGTGAACAATCCTGCTGATGGAGCAGTTTTGAAACTCTCTTTCTTTGGATTCTGCAAGTGGATATGTGGACCTCTGTGAAGATTTCGTTGGAAACGGGTTCATCTTCACAGAAAAACTAAACAGAAGCATTCTCAGAAACAGCTTTGTGATGTTTGTGTTCCTCTTCAGGAATTGAACTTTCCTCTTGAAAGAGCAGCTCTGAAACCCTCTTTTTCTAGAATCTGCAAGTGGACATTTGGAGGGCTTTGAGGCCTGTGGTGGAAAAGGAAAATCTTCCCATAAAAACTAGATGGAAGCATTCTCAGAAACTATTTTGTGATGATTGCATTCGACTCACAGAGTTGAACATTCCTATAGATAGAGCAGGTTGTAAACAATCTTTTTGTAGAATCTGCGATTGGAGATTTGGACTGCTTTGAGGCCTACTGTAGTAAAGGAAATAACTTCATCTAAAAACCAAATGGAAGCATTCACAGACAATTCTTAGTGATCATTGGATTGAACTAACAGAGCTGAACATTCCTTTAGATGGAGCAGTTTCCAAACCCACTTTCTGTAGAATCTGCAAGTGGATATTTGGACTTCTCTGAGGATTTCGTTGGAAACGGGATAAACTTCCCAGAACTACACGGAAGCATGCTGAGAAACTTCTTTGTGATGTTTGCATTCAACTCACAGAGTTGAACCTTGCTTTCATAGTTCAGCTTTCAAACACTCTTTTTGTAGAATCTGCAAGTGGATATTTGGACCACTTTGTGGCCTTCCTTCGAAAACGGGTATATCTTCACATCAAACCTAGACAGAAGCATTCTCAGAATGTTTCCTGTGATGACTGCATTCAACTCACAGAGGTGAACAATCCTGCTGATGGAGCAGTTTTGAAACTCTCTTTCTTTGGATTCTGCAAGTGGATATGTGGACCTCTGTGAAGATTTCGTTGGAAACGGGTTCATCTTCACAGAAAAACTAAACAGAAGCATTCTCAGAAACTGCTTTGTGATGTTTGTGTTCCACTTCAGGAATTGAACTTTCCTCTTGACAGAGCAGCTCTGAAACCCTCTTATTCTAGAATCTGCAAGTGGACATTTGGAGGGCTTTGAGGCCTGTGGTGGAAAAGGAAAATCTTCACATAAAAACTAGATGGAAGCATTCTCAGAAACTACTTTGTGATGATTGCATTCGACTCACAGAGTTGAACATTCCTATAGGTAGAGCAGGTTGTAAACAATCTTTTTGTAGAATCTGCGATTGGAGATTTGGACTGCTTTGAGGCCTACTGTAGTAAAGGAAATAACTTCATCTAAAAACCAAACGGAAGCATTCACAGACAATTCTTAGTGATCATTGCATTGAACTAACAGAGCTGAACATTCCTTTAGATGGCGTAGTTTCCAAACACACTTTCTGTAGAATCTGCAAGTGGATATTTGGACCTCTCTGAGGATTTCGTTGGAAACGGGATAAACTTCCCAGAACTACACGGAAGCATTGTGAGAAACTTCTTTGTGATGTTTGCATTCAACTCACAGAGTTGAACCTTGCTTTCATAGTTCAGCTTTCAAACACTCTTTTTGTAGAATCTGCAAGTGGATATTTGGATCACTTTGTGGCCTTCCTTCGAAACGGGTATATCTTCACATCAAACCTAGACAGAAGCATTCTCAGAATGTTTCCTGTGATGACTGCATTCAACTCACAGAGCTGAACAATCCTGTTGATGGAGCAGTTTTGAAACTCTCTTTCTTTGGATTCTGCAAGTGGATATGTGGACCTCTGTGAAGATTTCGTTGGAAACGGGTTCATCTTCACAGAAAAACTAAACAGGAGCATTCTCAGAAACTGCTTTGTGATGTTTGTGTTCCACTTCAAGAATTGAACTTTCCTCTTGACAGAGCAGCTCTGAAACCCTCTTTTTCTAGAATCTGCAAGTGGACATTTGGAGGGCTTTGAGGCCTGTGGTGGAAAAGGAAAATCTTCCCATAAAAACTAGAGGAAGCATTCTCAGAAACTACTTTGCGATGATTGCATTCGACTCACAGAGTTGAACATTCCTATAGATAGAGCAGGTTGTAAACAATCTTTTTGTAGAATCTGCGATTGGAGATTTGGACTGCTTTGAGGCCTACTGTATTAAAGGAAATAACTTCATCTAAAAACCAAACGGAAGCATTCACAGACAATTCTTAGTGATCATTGGATTGAACTAACAGAGCTGAACATTCCTTTAGATGGAGCAGTTTCCAAACACACTTTCTGTAGAATCTGAAAGTGGATATTTGGACCTCTCTGAGGATTTCGTTGGAAACGGGATAAACTTCCCAGAACTACACGGAAGTATTCTGAGAAACTTCTTTGTGATGTTTGCATTCAACTCACAGAGTTGAACCTTGCTTTCATAGTTCAGCTTTCAAACACTCTTTTTGTAGAATCTGCAAGTGGATATTTGGACCACTTTGTGGCCTTCCTTCGAAACGGGTATATCTTCACATCAAACCTAGACAGAAGCATTCTCAGAATGTTTCCTGTGATGACTGCATTCAACTCACAGAAGGTGAACAATCCTGCTGATGGAGCAGTTTTGAAACTCTCTTTCTTTGGATTCTGCAAGTGGATATGTGGACCTCTGTGAAGATTTCTTTGGAAACGGGTTCATCTTCACAGAAAAACTAAACAGAAGCATTCTCAGAAACTGCTTTGTGATGTTTGTGTTCCACTTCAGGAATTGAACTTTCCTCTTGACAGAGCAGCTCTGAAACCCTCTTATTCTAGAATCTGCAAGTGGACATTTGGAGGGCTTTGAGGCCTGTGGTGGAAAAGGAAAATCTTCATATAAAAACTAGATGGAAGCGTTCTCAGAAACTACTTTGTGATGATTGCATTCGACTCACAGAGTTGAACATTCCTATAGATAGAGCAGGTTGTAAACCATCTTTTTGTAGAATCTGCGATTGGAGATTTGGACTGCTTTGAGGCCTACTGTAGTAAAGGAAATAACTTCATCTAAAAACCAAACGGAAGCATTCACAGACAATTCTTAGTGATTATTGGATTGATCTAACAGAGCTGAACATTCCTTTAGATGGAGCAGTTTCCAAACCCACTTTCTGTAGAATCTGCAAGGGGATATTTGGACTTCTCTGAGGATTTCGTTGGAAACGGGATAAACTTCCCAGAACTACACGGAAGCATTCTGAGAAACATCTTTGTGATGTTTGCATTCAACTCACAGAGTTGAACCTTGCTTTCATAGTTCAGCTTTCAAACACTCTTTTTGTAGAATCTGCAAGTGGATATTTGGACCACTTTGTGGCCTTCCTTCGAAACGGGTATATCTTCACATCAAACCTAGACAGAAGCATTCTCAGAATGTTTCCTGTGATGACTGCATTCAACTCACAGTGGTGAACAATCCTTCTGATGGAGCAGTTTTGAAACTCTCTTTCTTTGGACTCTGCAAGTGGATATGTGGACCTCTGTGAAGATTTCGTTGGAAACGGGTTCATCTTCACAGAAAAACTAAACAGGAGCATTCTCAGAAACTGCTTTGTGATGTTTGTGTTCCACTTCAAGAATTGAACTTTCCTCTTGACAGAGCAGCTCTGAAACCCTCTTTTTCTAGAGTCTGCAAGTGGACATCTGGAGGGCTTTGAGGCCTGTGGTGGAAAAGGAAAATCTTCACATAAAAACTAGATGGAAGCATTCTCAGAAACTACTTTGCGATGATTGCATTCGACTCACAGAGTTGAACATTCCTATAGATAGAGCAGGTAGTAAACAATCTTTTTGAAGAATCTGCGATTGGAGATTTGGACTGCTTTGAGGCCTACTGTAGTAAAGGAAAGAACTTCATCTAAAAACCAAACGGAAGCATTCACAGACAATTCTTAGTGATCATTGGATAGAACTAACAGAGCTGAACATTCCTTTAGATGGAGCAGTTTCCAAACACACTTTCTGTAGAATCTGCAAGTGGATATTTGGACCTCTCTGAGGATTTCGTTGGAAACGGGATAAACTTCCCAGAACTACACGAAAGTATTCTGAGAAACTTCTTTGTGATGTTTGCATTCAACTCACAGAGTTGAACCTTGCTTTCATAGTTCAGCTTTCAAACACTCTTTTTGTAGAATCTGCAAGTGGATATTTGGACCACTTTGTGGCCTTCCTTCGAAACGGGTATATCTTCACATCAAACCTAGACAGAAGCATTCTCAGAATGTTTCCTGTGATGACTGCATTCAACTCACAGAGGTGAACAATCCTGCTGATGGAGCAGTTTTGAAACTCTCTTTCTTTGGATTCTGCAAGTGGATATGTGGACCTCTGTGAAGATTTCGTTGGAAATGGGTTCATCTTCACAGAAAAACTAAACAGAAGCATTCTCAGCAAACTGCTTTGTGATGTTTGTGTTCCACTTCAGGAATTGAACTTTCCTCTTGACAGAGCAGCTCTGAAACCCTCTTATTCTAGAATCTGCAAGTGGACATTTGGAGGGCTTTGAGGCCTGTGGTGGAAAAGGAAAATCTTCACATAAAAACTAGATGGAAGCATTCTCAGAAACTACTTTGTGATGATTGCATTCGACTCACAGAGTTGAACATTCCTATAGATAGAGCAGGTTGTAAACAATCTTTTTTTTAGAATCTGCGATTGGAGATTTGGACTGCTTTGAGGCCTACTGTAGTAAAGGAAATATCTTCATCTAAAAACCAAACGGAACCATTCACAGACAATTCTTAGTGATCATTGCATTGAACTAACAGAGCTGAACATTCCTTTAGATGGAGCAGTTTCCAAACACACTTTCTGTAGAATCTGCAAGTGGACATTTGGACTTCTCTGAGGATTTCGTTGGAAACGGGATAAACTTCCGAGAACTACACGGAAGCATTCTGAGAAACTTCTTTGTGATGTTTGCATTCAACTCACAGAGTTGAACCTTGCTTTCATAGTTCAGCTTTCAAACACTCTTTTTGTAGAATCTGCAAGTGGATATTTGGACCACTTTGTGGCCTTCCTTCGAAACGGGTATATCTTCACATCAAACCTAGACAGAAGCATTCTCAGAATGTTTCCTGTGATGACTGCATTCAACTCACAGAGGTGAACAATCCTGCTGATGGAGCAGTTTTGAAACTCTCTTTCTTTGGATTCTGCAAGTGGATATGTGGACCTCTGTGAAGATTTCGTTGGAAACGGGTTCATCTTCACAGAAAAACTAAACAGAAGCATTCTCAGAAACTCCTTTGTGTTGTTTGTGTTCCACTTCAAGAATTGAACTTTCCTCTTGACACAGCAGCTCTGAAACTCCCTTTTTCTAGAATCTGCAAGTGGACATTTGGAGGGCTTTGAGGCCTGTGGTGGAAAAGGAAACATCTTCACATAAAACCTAGATAGAAGCATTCTCAGAAACTACTTTGTGATGATTGCATTCGACTCACAGAGTTGAACATTCCTATAGATAGAGTAGGTTGTAAACAATCTTTTTGTTGAATCTGCGATTGGAGATTTGGACTGCTTTGAGGCCTACTGTAGTAAAGGAAATAACTTCATCTAAAAACCAAACGGAAGCATTCACAGGACAATTCTTAGTGATCATTGGATTGAACTAACAGCAGCTGAAGATTCCTTTAGATGGAGCAGTTTCCAAACACACTTTCTGTAGAATCTGCAAGTGGATATTTGGACCTCTCTGAGGATTTCGTTGGAAACGGGATAAACTTCCCTGAACTACACGGAAGCATTCTGAGAAACTTCTTTGTGATGTTTGCATTCAACTCACAGAGTTGAACCTTGCTTTCATAGTTCAGCTTTCAAACACTCTTTTTGTAGAATCTGCAAGTGGATATTTGGACCACTTTGTGGCCTTCCTTCGAAACGGGTATATCTTCACATCAAACCTAGACAGAAGCATTCTCAGAATGTTTCCTGTGATGACTGCATTCAACTCACAGAGGTGAACAATCCTGCTGATGGAGCAGTTTTGAAACTCTCTTTCTTTGGATTCTGCAAGTGGATATGTGGACCTCTGTGAAGATTTCGTTGGAAACGGGTTCATCTTCACAAAAAAACTAAACAGGAGCATTCTCAGAAACTGCTTTGTGATGTTTGTGTTCCACATCAGGAATTGAACTTTACTCTTGACAGAGCAGCTCTGAAACCCTCTTTTTCTAGAATCTGCAAGTGGACATTTGGAGGGCTTTGAGGCCTGTGGTGGAAAAGGAAAATCTTCACATAAAAACTAGATGGAAGCATTCTCAGAAACTACTTTGTGATGATTGCATTCGACTCACAGAGTTGAACATTCCTATCGATAGAGCAGGTTGTAAACAATCTTTTTGTAGAATCTGCGATTGGAGATTTGGACTGCTTTGAGGCCTACTGTAGTAAAGGAAATAACTTCATCTAAAAACCAAACGGAAGCATTCACAGACAATTCTTAGTGATCATTGGATTGAACTAACAGAGCTGAACATTCCTTTAGATGGCGCAGTTTCCAAACACACTTTCTGTAGAATCTGCAAGTGGATATTTGGACCTCTCTGAGGATATCGTTGGAAACGGGATAAACTTCCCAGAACTACACGGAAGCATTGTGAGAAACTTCTTTGTGATGTTTGCATTCAACTCACAGAGTTGAACCTTGCTTTCATAGTTCAGCTTTCAAACACTCTTTTTGTAGAATCTGCAGGTGGATATTTGGACCACTTTGTGGCCTTCCTTCGAAACGGGTATATCTTCACATCAAACCTAGACAGAAGCATTCTCAGAATGTTTCCTGTGATGACTGCATTCAACTCACAGAGGTGAAAAATCCTGCTGATGGAGCAGTTTTGAAACTCTCTTTCTTTGGATTCTGCAAGTGGATATGTGGACCTCTGGGAAGATTTCGTTGGAAACGGGTTCATCTTCACAGAAAAAATAAACAGGAGCATTCTCAGAAACTGCTTTGTGATGTTTGTGTTCCACTTCAAGAATTGAACTTTCCTCTTGACAGAGCAGCTCTGAAACCCTCTTTTTCTAGAATCTGCAAGTGGACATTTGGAGGGCTTTGAGGCCTGTGGTGGAAAAGGAAAATCTTCCCATAAAAACTAGATGGAAGCATTCTCAGAAACTACTTTGTGATGATTGCATTCGACTCACAGAGTTGAACATTCCTATAGATAGAGCAGGTTGTAAACAATCTTTTTGTAGAATCTGCGATTGGAGATTTGGACTGCTTTGAGGCCTACTGTAGTAAAGGAAATAACTTCATCTAAAAACCAAACGGAAGCATTCACAGACAATTCTTAGTGATCATTGGATTGAACTAACAGAGCTGAACATTCCTTGAGATGGAGCAGTTTCCAAACACACTTTCTGTAGAATCTGCAAGTGGATATTTGGACTTCTCTGAGGATTTCGTTGGAAACGGGATAAACTTCCCAGAACTACATGGAAGCATTCTGAGAAACTTCTTTGGATGTTTGCATTCAACTCACAGAGTTGAACCTTGCTTTCATAGTTCAGCTTTCAAACACTCTTTTTGTAGAATCTGCAAGTGGATACTTGGACCACTTTGTGGCCTTCCTTCGAAACGGGTATATCTTCACATCAAACCTAGACAGAAGCATTCTCAGAATGTTTCCTGTGATGACTGCATTCAACTCACAGAGGTGAACAATCCTGCTGATGGAGCAGTTTTGAAACTCTCTTTCTTTGGATTCTGCAAGTGGATATGTGGACCTCTGTGAAGATTTCGTTGGAAACGGGTTCATCTTCACAGAAAAACTAAACAGGAGCATTCTCAGAAACTGCTTTGTGATGTTTGTGTTCCACTTCAGGAATTGAACTTTCCTCTTGATAGAGCAGCTCTCAAACCCTCTTTTTCTAGAATCTGCAAGTGGATATTTGGAGGGCTTTGAGGCCTGTGGTGGAAAAGGAAACTCTTCACATAAAAACTAGATGGAAGCATTCTCAGAAACTACTTTGCGATGATTGCATTCGACTCACAGAGTTGAACATTCCTATAGATAGAGCAGGTAGTAAACAATCTTTTTGTAGAATCTCCGATTGGAGATTTGGACTGCTTTGAGGCCTACTGTAGTAAAGGAAATAACTTCATCTAAAAACCAAACGGAAGCATTCACAGACAATTCTTAGTGATCATTGGATTGAACTAACAGAGCTGAACATTCCTTTAGATGGAGCAGTTTCCAAACACAATTTCTGTAGAATCTGCAAGTGGATATTTGGACTTCTCTGAGGATTTCGTTGGAAAAGGGATAAACTTCCCAGAACTACACGGAAGCATTCTGAGAAACTTCTTTGTGATGTTTGCATTCAACTCACAGAGTTGAACCTTGCTTTCATAGTTCAGCTTTCAAACACTCTTTTTGTAGAATCTGCAAGTGGATATTTGGACCACTTTGTGGCCTTCCTTCGAAACGGGTATATCTTCACATCAAACCTAGACAGAAGCATTCTCAGAATGTTTCCTGTGATGACTGCATTCAACTCACAGAGGTGAACAATCCTGCTGATGGAGCAGTTTTGAAACTCTCTTTCTTTGGATTCTGCAAGTTGATATGTGGACCTCTGTGAAGATTTCGTTGGAAACGGGTTCATCTTCACAGAAAAACTAAACAGGAGCATTCTCAGAAACTACTTTGTGATGTTTGTGTTCCACTTCAAGAATTGAACTTTCCTCTTGACAGAGCAGCTCTGAAACCCTCTTTTTCTAGAATCTGCAAGTGGACATTTGGAGGGCTTTGAGGCCTGTGGTGGAAAAGGAAAATCTTCACATAAAAACTAGATGGAAGCATTCTCAGAAACTACTTTGTGATGATTGCATTCGACTCACAGGGTTGAACATTCCTATAGATAGAGCAGGTTGTAAACAATCTTTTTGTAGAATATGCGATTGGAGATTTGGACTGCTTTGAGGCCTACTGTAGTAAAGGAAATAACTTCATCTAAACACCAAACGGAAGCATTCACAGACAATTCTTAGTGATCATTGGATTAAACTAACAGAGCTGAACATTCCTTTAGATGGAGCAGTTTCCAAACCCACTTTCTGTAGAATCTGCAAGTGGATATTTGGACTTCTCTGAGGATTTCGTTGGAAACGGGATAAACTTCCCAGAACTACACGGAAGCATTCTGAGAAACTTCTTTGTGATGTTTGCATTCAACACACAGAGTTGAACCTTGCTTTCATAGTTCAGCTTTCAAACACTCTTTTTGTAGAATCTGCAAGTGGATATTTGGACCACTTTGTGGCCTTCCTTCGAAACGGGTATATCTTCACATCAAACCTAGACAGAAGCATTCTCAGAATGTTTCCTGTGATGACTGCATTCAACTCACAGAGGTGAACAATCCTGCTGATGGAGCAGTTTTGAAACTCTCTTTCTTTGGATTCTGCAAGTGGATACGTGGACCTCTGTGAAGATTTCGTTGGAAACGGGTTCATCTTCACAGAAAAACTAAACAGAAGCATTCTCAGAAACTGCTTTGTGATATTTGTGTTCCACTTCAAGAATTGAACTTTCCTCTTGACAGAGCAGCTCTGAAACCCTCTTCTTCTAGAATCTGCAAGTGGACATTTGGAGGGCTTTGAGGCCTGTGGTGGAAAAGGAAAATCTTCACATAAAAACTAGATGGAAGCATTCTCAGAAACTACTTTGTGATGATTGCATTCGACTCACAGAGTTGAACATTCCTATAGATAGAGCAGGTTGTAAACAATCTTTTTGTAGAATCTGCGATTGGAGATTTGGACTGCTTTGAGGCCTACTGTAGTAAAGGAAATAACTTCATCTAAAAACCAAACGGAAGCATTCACAGACAATTCTTAGTGATCATTGGATTGAACTAACAGAGCTGAACATTCCTTTAGATGGAGCAGTTTCCAAACACACTTTCTGTAGAATCTGCAAGTGGATATTTGGACCTCTCTGAGGATTTCGTTGGAAACGGGATAAACTTCCCAGAACTACACGGAAGCATTGTGAGAAACTTCTTTGTGACGTTTGCATTCAACTCACAGAGTTGAACCTTGCTTTCATAGTTCAGCTTTCAAACACTCTTTATGTAGAATCTGCAAGTGGATATTTGGACCACTTTGTGGCCTTCCTTCGAAACGGGTATATCTTCACATCAAACCTAGACAGAAGCATTCTCAGAATGTTTCCTGTGATGACTGCATTCAAGTCACAGAGGTGAACAATCCTGCTGATGGAGCAGTTTTGGAACTCTCTTTCTTTGGATTCTGCAAGTGGATATGTGGACCTCTGTGAAGATTTCGTTGGAAACGGGTTCATCTTCACAGAAAAACTAAACAGGAGCATTCTCAGAAACTGCTTTGTGATGTTTGTGTTCCACTTCAAGAATTGAACTTTCCTCTTGACAGAGCAGCTCTGAAACCCTCTTTTTCTAGAATCTGCAAGTGGACATTTGGAGGGCTTTGAGGCCTGTGGTGGAAAAGGAAAATCTTCACATAAAAACTAGATGGAAGCATTCTCAGAAACTACTTTGTGATGATTGCATTCGACTCACAGAGTTGAACATTCCTATAGATAGAGCAGGTTGTAAACAATCTTTTTGTAGAATCTGCGATTGGAGATTTGGACTGCTTTGAGGCCTACAGTAGTAAAGGGAATAACTTCATCTAAAAACCAAACGGAAAGCATTCACAGACAATTCTTAGTGATCATTGCATTGAACTAACAGAGCTGAACATTCCTTTAGATGGAGCAGTTTCCAAACCCACTTTCTGTAGAATCTGCAAGTGGATATTTGGACTTCTCTGAGGATTTCGTTGGAAACGGGATAAACTTCCCAGAACTACACGGGAAGCATTCTGAGAAACTTCTTTGTGATGTTTGCATTCAACTCACAGAGTTGAACCTTGCTTTCATAGTTCAGCTTTCAAACACTCTTTTTGTAGAATCTGCAAGAGGATATTTGGACCACTTTGTGGCCTTCCTTCGAAACGGGTATATCTTCACATCAAACCTAGACAGAAGCATTCTCAGAATGTTTCCTGTGATGACTGCATTCAACTCACAGAGGTGAACAATCCTTCTGATGGAGCAGTTTTGAAACTCTCTTTCTTTGGATTCTGCAAGTGGATATGTGGACCTCTGTGAAGATTTCGTTGGAAACGGGTTCATCTTCACAGAAAAACTAAACAGGAGCATTCTCAGAAACTGTTTTGTGATGTTTGTGTTCCACTTCAAGAATTGAACTTTCCTCTTGACAGAGCAGCTCTGAAACCCTCTTTTTCTAGAATCTGCAAGTGGACATTTGGAGGGCTTTGAGGCCTGTGGTGGAAAAGGAAAATCTTCACATAAAAACTAGATGGAAGCATTCTCAGAAACTACTTTGTGATGATTGCATTCGACTCACAGAGTTGAACATTCCTATAGATAGAGCAGGTTGTAAACAATCTTTTTGTAGAATCTGCGATTGGAGATTTGGACTGCTTTGAGGCCTACTGTAGTAAAGGAAATAACTTCATCTAAAAACCAAACGGAAGCATTCACAGACAATTCTTAGTGATCATTGCATTGAACTAACAGAGCTGAACATTCCTTTAGATGGCGCAGTTTCCAAACACACTTTCTGTAGAATCTGCAAGTGGATATTTGGACTTCTCTGAGGATTTCGTTGGAAACGGGATAAACTTCCCAGAACTACACGGAAGTATTCTGAGAAACTTCTTTGTGATGTTTGCATTCAACTCACAGAGTTGAACCTTGCTTTCATAGTTCAGCTTTCAAACACTCTTTTTGTAGAATCTGCAAATGGATATTTGGACCAATTTTGGCCTTCCTTGGAAACGGGTATATCTTCACATCAAACCTTGACAGAAGCATTCTCAGAATGTTTCCTGTGATGACTGCATTCAACTCACAGAGGTGAACAATCCTGTTGATGGAGCAGTTTTGAAACTCTCTTTCTTTGGATTCTGCAAGTTGATATGTGGACCTCTGTGAAGATTTCGTTGGAAACGGGTTCATCTTCACAGAAAAACTAAACAGAAACATTCTCAGAAACTGCTTTGTGATGTTTGTGTTCCACTTCAAGAATTGAACTTTCCTCTTGACAGAGCAGCTCTGAAACCCTCTTTTTCTAGAATCTGCAAGTGGACATTTGGAGGGCTTTGAGGCCTGTGGTGGAAAAGGAAAATCTTCACATGAAAACTAGATGGAAGCATTCTCAGAAACTACTTTGTGATGATTGCATTCGACTCACAGAGTTGAACATTCCTATAGATAGAGCAGGTTGTAAACAATCTTTTTGTAGAATCTGCGATTGGAGATTTGGACTGCTTTGAGGCCTACTGTAGTAAAGGAAATAACTTCATCTAAAAACCAAACGGAAGCATTCACAGACAATTCTTAGTGATCATTGGATTGAACTAACAGAGCTGAACATTCCTTTAGATGGAGCAGTTTCCAAACCCACTTTCTGTAGAATCTGCAAGTGGATATTTGGACTTCTCTGAGGATTTCGTTGGAAACGGGATAAACTTCCCAGAACTACACGGAAGCATTGTGAGAAACTTCTTTGTGATGTTTGCATTCAACTCACACAGTTGAACCTTGCTTTCATAGTTCAGCTTTCAAACACTCTTTTTGTAGAATCTGCAAGTGGATATTTGGACCACTTTGTGGCCTTCCTTCGATACGGGTATATCTTCACATCAAACCTAGACAGAAGCATTCTCAGAATGTTTCCTGTGATGACTGCATTCAACTCACAGAGGTGAACAATCCTGCTGATGGAGCAGTTATGAAACTCTCTTTCTTTGGATTCTGCAAGTGGATATGTGGACCTCTGTGAAGATTTCGTTGGAAACCGGTTCATCTTCACAGAAAAACTAAACAGAAGCATTCTCAGAAACTGCTTTGTGATGTTTGTGTTCCACTTCAAGAATTGAACTTTCCTTTTGACAGAGCAGCTCTGAAACCCTCTTTTTCTAGAATCTGCAAGTGGACATTTGGAGGGCTTTGAGGCCTGTGGTGGAAAAGGAAAATCTTCACATAAAAACTAGATGGAAGCATTCTCAGAAACTACTTTGTGATGATTGCATTCGACTCACAGAGTTGAACATTCCTATAGATAGAGCAGGTTGTAAACAATCTTTTTGTAGAATCTGCGATTGGAGATTTGGACTGCTTTGAGGCCTACTGTAGTAAAGGAAATAACTTCATCTAAAAACCAAACGGAAGCATTCACAGACAATTCTTAGTGATCATTGGATTGAACTAACAGAGCTGAACATTCCTTTAGATGGCGCAGTTTCCAAACACACTTTCTGTAGAATCTGCAAGTGGATATTTGGACTTCTCTGAGGATTTCGTTGGAAACGGGATAAACTTCCCAGAACTACACGGAAAGCATTCTGAGAACTTCTTTGTGATGTTTGCATTCAACTCACAGAGTTGAACCTTGCTTTCATAGTTCAGCTTTCAAACACTCTTTTTGTAGAATCTGCAAGTGGATATTTGGACCACTTTGTGGCCTTCCTTCGAAACGGGTATATCTTCACATCAAACCTAGACAGAAGCATTCTCAGAATGTTTCCTGTGATGACTGCATTCAACTCACAGCAGGTGAACAATCCTGCTGATGGAGCTGTTTTGAAACTCTCTTTCTTTGGATTCTGCAAGTGGATATGTGGACCTCTGTGAAGATTTCGTTGGAAACGGGTTCATCTTCACAGAAAAACTAAACAGAAGCATTCTCAGAAACTGCTTTGTGATGTTTGTGTTCCACTTCAAGAATTGAACCTTCCTCTTGATAGAGCAGCTCTGAAACCCTCTTTTTCTAGAATCTGCAAGTGGACATTTGGAGGGCTTTGAGGCCTGTGGTGGAAAAGGAAAATCTTCCCATAAAAACTAGATGGAAGCATTCTCAGAAACTACTTTGTGATGATTGCATTCGACTCACAGAGTTGAACATTCCTATAGATAGAGCAGGTTGTAAACAATCTTTTTGTAGAATCTGCGATTGGAGATTTGGCCTGCTTTGAGGCCTACTGTAGTAAAGGAAATAACTTCATCTAAAAACCAAACGGAAGCATTCACAGACAATTCTTAGTGATCATTGGATTGAACTAACAGAGCTGAACATTCCTTTAGATGGAGCAGTTTCCAAACCCACTTTCTGTAGAATCTGCAAGTGGATATTTGGACCTCTCTGAGGATTTCGTGGGAAACGGGATAAACTTCCCAGAACTACACGGAAGCATTGTGAGAAACTTCTTTGTGATGTTTGCATTCAACTCACAGAGTTGAACCTTGCTTTCATAGTTCAGCTTTCAAACACTCTTTTTGTCGAATCTGCAAGTGGATATTTGGACCACTTTGTGGCCTTCCTTCGAAACGGGTATATCTTCACATCAAACCTAGACAGAAGCATTCTCAGAATGTTTCCTGTGATGACTGCATTCAACTCACAGAGGTGAACAATCCTGCTGATGGAGCAGTTTTGAAACTCTCTTTCTTTGGATTCTGCAAGTGGATATGTGGACCTCTGTGAAGATTTCGTTGGAAACGGGTTCATCTTCACAGAAAAACTAAACAGAAGCATTCTCAGTAAACTGCTTTGTGATGTTTGTGTTCCACTTCAAGAATTGAACTTTCCTCTTGACAGAGCAGCTCTGAAACCCTCTTTTTCTAGAATCTGCAAGTGGACATTTGGAGGGCTTTGAGGCCTGTGGTGCAAAAGGAAAATCTTCACATAAAAACTAGATGGAAGCATTCTCAGAAACTACTTTGTGATGATTGCATTCGACTCACAGAGTTGAACATTCCTATAGATAGAGCAGGTTGTAAACAATCTTTTTGTAGAATCTGCGATTGGAGATTTGGACTGCTTTGAGGCCTACTGTAGTAAAGGAAATAACTTCATCTAAAAACCAAACGGAAGCATTCACAGACAATTCTTAGTGATCATTGCATTGAACTAACAGAGCTGAACATTCCTTTAGATGGAGCAGTTTCCAAACACACTTTCTGTAGAATCTGCAAGTGGATATTTGGACCTCTCTGAGATTTTCGTTGGAAACGGGTAAACTTCCCAGAACTACACGGAAGCATTCTGAGAAACTTCTTTGTGATGTTTGCATTCAACTCACAGAGTTGAACCTTGCTTTCATAGTTCAGCTTTCAAACACTCTTTTTGTAGAATCTGCAAGTGGATATTTGGACCACTTTGTGGCCTTCCTTCGAAACGGGTATATCTTCACATCAAACCTAGACAGAAGCATTCTCAGAATGTTTCCTGTGATGACTGCATTCAACTCACAGAGGTGAACAATCCTGCTGATGGAGCAGTTTTGAAACTCTCTTTCTTTGGATTCTGCAAGTGGATATGTGGACCTCTGTGAAGATTTCGTTGGAAACGGGTTCATCTTCACAGAAAAACTAAACAGGAGCATTCTCAGAAACTGCTTTGTGATGTTTGTGTTCCACTTCAGGAATTGAACTTTCCTCTTGACAGAGCAGCTCTAAAACCCTCTTATTCTAGAATCTGCAAGTGGACATTTGGAGGGCTTTGAGGCCTGTGGTGGAAAAGGAAAATCTTCACATAAAAACTAGATGGAAGCATTCTCAGAAACTACTTTGTGATGATTGCATTCGACTCACAGAGTTGAACATTCCTATACATAGAGCAGGTTGTAAACAATCTTTTTGTAGAATCTGCGATTGGAGATTTGGACTGCTTTGAGGCCTACTGTAGTAAAGGAAATAACTTCATCTAAAAACCAAACGGAAGCATTCACAGACAATTCTTAGTGATCATTGGATTGAACTAACAGAGCTGAACATTCCTTTAGATGGAGCAGTTTCCAAACCCACTTTCTGTAGAATCTGCAAGTGGATATTTGGACTTCTCTGAGGATTTCGTTGGAAACGGGATAAACTTCCCAGAACTACACGGAAGCATTCTGAGAAACTTCTTTGTGATGTTTGCATTCAACTCACAGAGTTGAACCTTGCTTTCATAGTTCAGCTTTCAAACACTCTTTTTGTAGAATCTGCAAGTGGATATTTGGACCACTTTCTGGCCTTCCTTCGAAACGGGTATATCTTCACATCAAACCTAGACAGAAGCATTCTCAGAATGTTTCCTGTGATGACTGCATTCAACTCACAGAGGTGAACAATCCTGTTGATGGAGCCCTTTTGAAACTCCCTTTCTTTTGATTCTGCAAGTGGATATGTGGACCTCTGTGAAGATTTCGTTGGAAACGGGTTCATCTTCACAGAAAAATTAACAGGAGCATTCTCAGAAACTGCTTTGTGATGTTTGTGTTCCACTTGAAGAATTGAACTTTCCTTTTGACAGAGCAGCTCTGAAATCCTCTTTTTCTAGAATCTGCAAGTGGACATTTGGAGGGCTTTGAGGCCTGTGGTGGAAAAGGAAAATCTTCCCATAAAAACTAGATGGAAGCATTCTCAGAAACTACTTTGTGATGATTGCATTCGACTCACAGAGTTGAACATTCCTATAGATAGAGCAGGTTGTAAACAATCTTTTTGTAGAATCTTCGATTGGAGATTTGGACTGCTTTGAGGCCTACTGTAGTAAAGGAAATAACTTCACCTAAAAACCAAACGGAAGCATTCACAGACAATTCTTAGTGATCATTGGTTTGAACTAACAGAGCTGAACATTCCTTTAGATGGAGCAGTTTCCAAACCCACTTTCTGTAGAATCTGCAAGTGGATATTTGGACTTCTCTGAGGATTTCGTTGGAAACGGGATAAACTTCCCAGAACTAAACGGAAGCATTCTGAGAAACTTCTTTGTGATGTTTGCATTCAACTCACAGAGTTGAACCTTGCTTTCATAGTTCAGCTTTCAAACACTCTTTTTGTAGAATCTGCAAGTGGATATTTGGACCACTTTGTGGCCTTCCTTCGAAACGGGTATATCTTCACATCAAACCTAGACAGAAGCATTCTCAGAATGTTTCCTGTGATGACTGCATTCAACTCACAGAGGTGAACAATCCTGTTGATGGGGCACTTTTGAAACTCTCTTTCTTTGGATTCTGCAAGTTGATATGTGGACCTCTGTGAAGATTTCGTTGGAAACGGGTTCATGTTCACAGAAAAACTAAACAGAAGCATTCTCAGAAACTGCTTTGTGATGTTTGTGTTCCACTTCAAGAATTGAACTTTCCTCTTGACAGAGCAGCTCTGCAACCCTCTTTTTCTAGAATCTGCAAGTGGACATTTGGAGGGCTTTGAGGCCTGTGGTGGAAAAGGAAAATCTTCACATAAAAACTAGATGGAAGAATTCTCAGAAACTACTTTGTGATGATTGCATTCGACTCACAGAGTTGAACATTCCTATAGATAGAGCAGGTTGTAAACAATCTTTTTGTAGAATCTGCGATTGGAGATTTGGACTGCTTTGAGGCCTACTGTAGTAAAGGAAATAACTTCATCTAAAAACCAAACGGAAGCATTCACAGACAATTCTTAGTGATCATTGGATTGAACTAACAGAGCTGAACATTCCTTTAGATGGAGCAGTTTCCAAACACACTTTCTGTAGAATCTGCAATTGGATATTTGGACTTCTCTGAGGATTTCGTTGGAAATGGGATAAACTTCCCAGAACTACACGGAAGAATTGTGAGAAACTTCTTTGTGATGTTTGCATTCAACTCACAGAGTTGAACCTTGCTTTCATAGTTCAGCTTTCAAACACTCTTTTTGTAGAATCTGCAAGTGGATATTTGGACCACTTTGTGGCCTTCCTTCGAAACGGGTATATCTTCACATCAAACCTAGACAGAAGCATTCTCAGAATGTTTCCTGTGATGACTGCATTCAACTCACAGAGGTGAACAATCCTGCTGATGGAGCAGTTTTGAAACTCTCTTTCTTTGGATTCTGCAAGTGGATATGTGGACCTCTGTGAAGATTTCGTTGGAAACGGGTTCATCTTCACAGAAAAACGAAACAGGAGCATTCTCAGAAACTGCTTTGTGATGTTTGTGTTCCACTTCAAGAATTGAACTTTCCTCTTGACAGAGCAGCTCTGAAACCCTCTTATTCTAGAATCTGCAAGTGGACATTTGGAGGGCTTTGAGGCCTGTGGTGGAAAAGGAAAATCTTCACATAAAAACTAGATGGAAGCATTCTCAGAAACTACTTTGTGATGATTGCATTCGACTCACAGAGTTGAACATTCCTATAGATAGAGCAGGTTGTAAACAATCTTTTTGTAGAATCTGCGATTGGAGATTTGGACTGCTTTGAGGCCTACTGTAGTAGAGGAAATAACTTCATCTAAAAACCAAACGGAAGCATTCACAGACAATCCTTAGTGATCATTGCATTGAACTAACAGAGCTGAACATTCCTTTAGATGGCGCAGTTTCCAAACACACTTTCTGTAGAATCTGCAAGTGGATATTTGGACCTCTCTGAGGATTTCGTTGGAAACGGGATAAACTTCCCAGAACTACACGGAAGCATTGTGAGAAACTTCTTTGTGATGTTTGCATTCAACTCACAGAGTTGAACCTTGCTTTCATAGTTCAGCTTTCAAACACTCCTTTTGTAGAATCTGCAAGTGGATATTTGGGCCACTTTGTGGCCTTCCTTCGAAACGGGTATATCTTCACATCAAACCTAGACAGAAGCATTCTCAGAATGTTTCCTGTGATGACTGCATTCAACTCACAGAGGTGAACAATCCTGTTGATGGAGCAGTTTTGAAACTCTCTTTCTTTGGATTCTGCAAGTGGATATGTGGACCTCTGTGAAGATTTCGTTGGAAACGGGTTCATCTTCACAGAAAAACTAAACAGGAGCATTCTCAGAAACTGCTTTGTGATGTTTGTGTTCCACTTCAGGAATTGAACTTTCCTCTTGACAGAGCAGCTCTAAAACCCTCTTATTCTAGAATCTGCAAGTGGACATTTGGAGGGCTTTGAGGCCTGTGGTGGAAAAGGAAAATCTTCACATAAAAACTAGATGGAAGCATTCTCAGAAACTACTTTGTGATGATTGCATTCGACTCACAGCAGTTGAACATTCCTATAGATAGAGCAGGTTGTAAACAATCTTTTTGTAGAATCTGCGATTGGAGATTTGGACTGCTTTGAGGCCTACTGTAGTAAAGGAAATAACTTCATCTAAAAACCAAACGGAAGCATTCACAGACAATTCTTAGTGATCATTGGATTGAACTAACAGAGCTGAACATTCCTTTAGATGGCGCAGTTTCCAAACACACTTTCTGTAGAATCTGCAAGTGGATATTTGGACCTCTCTGAGGATTTCGTTGGAAACGGGATAAACTTCCCAGAACTACACGGAAGCATTCTGAGAAACTTCTTTGTGATGTTTGCATTCAACTCACAGAGTTGAACCTTGCTTTCATAGTTCAGCTTTCAAACACTCTTTTTGTAGAATCTGCAAGTGGATATTTGGGACCACTTTGTGGCCTTCCTTCGAAACGGGTATATCTTCACATCAAACCTAGACAGAAGCATTCTCAGAATGTTTCCTGTGATGACTGCATTCAACTCACAGAGGTGAAAAATCCTGCTGATGGAGCAGTTTTGAAACTCTCTTTCTTTGGATTGTGCAAGTGGATATGTGGACCTCTGTGTAGATTTCGTTGGAAACGGGTTCATCTTCACAGAAAAACTAAACAGGAGCATTCTCAGAAACTGCTTTGTGATGTTTGTGTTCCACTTCAGGAATTGAACGTTCCTCTTGACAGAGCAGCTCTGAAACCCTCTTATTCTAGAATCTGCAAGTGGACATTTGGAGGGCTTTGAGGCCTGTGGTGGAAAAGGAAAATCTTCACATAAAAACTAGATGGAAGCATTCTCAGAAACTACTTTGTGATGATTGCATTCGACTCACAAAGTTGAACATTCCTATAGATAGAGCAGGTTGTAAACAATCTTTTTGTAGAATCTGCGATTGGAGAATTGGACTGCTTTGAGGCCTACTGTAGTAAAGGAAATAACTTCATCTAAAAACCAAACGGAAGCATTCACAGACAATTCTTAGTGATCATTGGATTGAACTAACAGAGCTGAACATTCCTTTAGATGGCACAGTTTCCAAACACACTTTCTGTAGAATCTGCAAGTGGATATTTGGACCTCTCTGAGGATTTCGTTGGAAACGGGATAAACTTCCCAGAACTACACGGAAGCATTCTGAGAAACTTCTTTGTGATGTTTGCATTCAACTCACAGAGTTGAACCTTGCTTTCATAGTTCAGCTTTCAAACACTCTTTTTGTAGAATCTGCAAGTGGATATTTGGACCACTTTGTGGCCTTCCTTCGAAACGGGTATATCTTCACATCAAACCTAGACAGAAGCATTCTCAGAATGTTTCCTGTGATGACTGCATTCAACTCACAGAGGTGAACAATCCTGTTGATGGAGCAGTTTTGAAACTCTCTTTCTTTGGATTCTGCAAGTGGATATGAGGACCTCTGTGAAGATTTCGTTGGAAACGGGTTCATCTTCACAGAAAAAATAAACAGGAACATTCTCAGAAACTGCTTTGTGATGTTTGTGTTCCACTTCAAGAATTGAACTTTCCTCTTGACAGAGCAGCTCTGAAACCCTCTTTTTCTAGAATCTGCAAGTGGACATTTGGAGGGCTTTGAGGCCTGTGGTGGAAAAGGAAAATCTTCACATAAAAACTAGATGGAAGCATTCTCAGAAACTACTTTGTGATGATTGCATTCGACTCACAGAGTTGAACATTCCTATAGATAGAGCAGGTTGTAAACAATGTTTTTGTAGAATCTGCGATTGGAGATTTGGACTGCTTTCAGGCCTACTGTAGTAAAGGAAATAACTTCATCTAAAAACCAAACGGAAGCATTCACAGACAATTCTTAGTGATCATTGCATTGATCTAACAGAGCTGAACATTCCTTTAGATGGCGTAGTTTCCAAACACACTTTCTGTAGAATCTGCAAGTGGATATTTGGACCTCTCTGAGGATTTCGTTGGAAACGGGATAAACTTCCCAGAACTACACGGAAGCATTCTGAGAAACTTCTTTGTGATGTTTGCATTCAACTCACAGAGTTGAACCTTGCTTTCATAGTTCAGCTTTCAAACACTCTTTTTGTAGAATCTGCAAGTGGATATTTGGACCACTTTGTGGCCTTCCTTCGAAACGGGTATATCTTCACATCAAACCTAGACAGAAGCATTCTCAGAATGTTTCCTGTGATGACTGCATTCAACTCACGGAGGTGAACAATCCTGCTGATGGAGCAGTTTTGAAACTCTCTTTCTTTGGATTCTGCAAGTGGATATGTGGACCTCTGTGAAGATTTCGTTGGAAACGGGTGCATCTTCACAGAAAAACTAAACAGGAGCATTCTCAGAAACTGCTTTGTGATGTTTGTGTTCCACTTCAGGAATTGAACTTTCCTCTTGACAGAGCAGCTCTGAAACCCTCTTTTTCTAGAATCTGCAAGTGGACATTTGGAGGGCTTTGAGGCCTGTGGTGGAAAAGGAAAATCTTCACATAAAAACTAGATGGAAGCATTCTCAGAAACTACTTTGTGATGATTGCATTCGACTCACAGAGTTGAACATTCCTATAGATAGAGCAGGTTGTAAACAATATTTTTGTAGAATCTGCGATTGGAGATTTGGACTGCTTTGAGGCCTACTGTAGTAAAGGAAATAACTTCATCTAAAAACCAAACGGAAGCATTCACAGACAATTCTTAGTGATCATTGGATTGAACTAACAGAGCTGAGCATTCCTTTAGATGGCGCAGTTTCCAAACCCACTTTCTGGAGAATCTGCAAGTGGATATTTGGACTTCTCTGAGGATTTCGTTGGAAACGGGATAAACTTCCCAGAACTACAGGGAAGCATTCTGAGAAACTTCTTTGTGATGTTTGCATTCAACTCACAGAGTTGAACCTTGCTTTCATAGTTCAGCTTTCAAACACTCTTTTTGTAGAATCTGCAAGTGGATATTTGGACCACTTTGTGGCCTTCCTTCGAAACGGGTATATCTTCACATCAAACCTAGACAGAAGCATTCTCAGAATGTTTCTTGTGATGACTGCATTCAACTCACAGAGGTGAACAATCCTGTTGATGGAGCAGTTTTGAAACTCTCTTTCCTTGGATTCTGCAAGTGGATATGTGGACCTCTGTGAAGATTTCGTTGGAAACGGGTTCATCTTCACAGAAAAACTAAACAGAAGCATTCTCAGAAACTGCTTTGTGATGTTTGTGTTCCACTTCAAGAATTGAACTTTCCTCTTGACAGAGCAGCGCTGAAACACTCTTTTTCTAGAATCTGCAAGTGGACATTTGGAGGGCTTTGAGGCCTGTGGTGGAAAAGGAAAATCTTCACATAAAAACTAGATGGAAGCATTCTCACAAACTACTTTGTGATGATTGCATTCGACTCACAGAGTTGAACATTCCTATAGATAGAGCAGGTTGTAAACAATCTTTTTGTAGAATCTGCGATTGGAGATTTGGACTGCTTTGAGGCCTACTGTAGTAAAGGAAATAACTTCATCTAAAAACCAAACGGAAGCATTCACAGACAATTCTTAGTGATCATTGCATTGAACTAACAGAGCTGAACATTCCTTTAGATGGAGCAGTTTCCAAACCCACTTTCTGTAGAATCTGCAAGTGGATATTTGGACTTCTCTGAGGATTTCGTTGGAAACGGGATAAACTTCCCAGAACTACACGGAAGCATTGTGAGAAACTTCTTTGTGATGTTTGCATTCAACTCACAGAGTTGAACCTTGCTTTCATAGTTCAGCTTTCAAACCCTCTTTTTGTAGAATCTGCAAGTGGATATTTGGACCACTTTGTGGCCTTCCTTCGAAACGGGTATATCTTCACATCAAACCTAGACAGAAGCATTCTCAGAATGTTTCCTGTGATGACTGCATTCAACTCACAGAGGTGAACAATCCTGCTGATGGAGCAGTTTTGAAACTCTCTTTCTTTGGATTCTGCAAGTGGATATGTGGACCTCTGTGAAGATTTCGTTGGAAACGGGTTCATCTTCACAGAAAAACTAAACAGAAGCATTCTCAGAAACTGCTTTGTGATGTTTGTGTTCCACTTCAGGAATTGAACTTTCCTCTTGACAGAGCAGCTCTGCAACCCTCTTTTTCTAGAATCTGCAAGTGGATATTTGGAGGGCTTTGAGGCCTGTGGTGGAAAAGGAAAATCTTCACATAAAAACTAGATGGAAGCATTCTCAGAAACTACTTTGTGATGATTGCATTCGACTCACAGAGTTGAACATTCCTATAGATAGAGCAGGTTGTAAACAATGTTTTTGTAGAATCTGCGATTGGAGATTTGGATTGCTTTGAGGCCTACTGTAGTAAAGGAAATAACTTCATCTAAAAACCAAACGGAAGCATTCACAGACAATTCTTAGTGATCATTGGATTGAACTAACAGAGCTGAACATTCCTTTAGATGGAGCAGTTGCCAAACCCACTTTCTGTAGAATCTGCAAGTGGATATTTGGACCTCTCTGAGGATTTCGTTGGAAACGGGATAAACTTCCCAGAACTACACGGAAGCATTCTGAGAAACTTCTTTGTGATGTTTGCATTCAACTCACAGAGTTGAACCTTGCTTTCATAGTTCAGCTTTCAAACACTCTTTTTGTAGAATCTGCAAGTGGATATTTGGACCACTTTGTGGCCTTCCTTCGAAACGGGTATATCTTCACATCAAACCTAGACAGAAGCATTCTCAGAATGTTTCCTGTGATGACTGCATTCAACTCACAGAGGTGAACAATCCTGCTGATGGAGCAGTTTTGAAACTCTCTTTCTTTGGATTCTGCAAGTGGATATGTGGACCTCTGTGAAGATTTCGTTGGAAACGGGTTCATCTTCACAGAAAAACTAAACAGGAGCATTCTCAGAAACTGCTTTGTGATGTTTGTGTTCCACTTCAAGAATTGAAGTTTCCTCTTGACAGAGCAGCTCTGAAACCCTCTTTTTCTAGAATCTGCAAGTGGACATTTGGAGGGCTTTGAGGCCTGTGGTGGAAAAGGAAAATCTTCACATAAAAACTAGATGGAAGCATTCTCAGAAACTACTTTGTGATGATTGCATTCGACTCACAGAGTTGAACATTCCTATAGATAGAGCAGGTTGTAATCAATCTTTTTGTAGAATCTCCGATTGGAGATTTGGACTGCTTTGAGGCCTACTGTAGTAAAGGAAATAACTTCATCTAAAAACCAAACGGAAGGATTCACAGACAATTCTTAGTGATCATTGGATTGAACTAACAGAGCTGAACATTCCTTTAGATGGAGCAGTTTCCAAACACACTTTCTGTAGAATCTGCAAGTGGATATTTGGACCTCTCTGAGGATTTCGTTGGAAACGGGATAAACTTCCCAGAACTACACGGAAGCATTCTGAGAAACTTCTTTGTGATGTTTGCATTCAACTCACAGAGTTGAACCTTGCTTTCATAGTTCTGCTTTCAAACACTCCTTTTGTAGAATCTGCAAGTGGATATTTGGACCACTTTGTGGCCTTCCTTCGAAACGGGTATATCTTCACATCAAACCTAGACAGAAGCATTCTCAGAATGTTTCCTGTGATGACTGCATTCAACTCACAGAGGTGAACAATCCTGTTGATGGAGCAGTTTTGAAACTCTCTTTCTTTGGATTCTGCAAGTGGATATGTGGACCTCTTTGAAGATTTCGTTGGAAACGGGTTCATCTTCACAGAAAAACTAAACAGAAGCATTCTCAGAAACTGCTTTGTGATGTTTGTGTTCCACTTCAAGAATTGAACTTTCCTCTTGACAGAGCAGCTCTGAAACCCTCTTTTTCTAGAATCTGCAAGTGGACATTTGGAGGGCTTTGAGGCCTGTGGTGGAAAAGGAAAATCTTCACATAAAAACTAGATGGAAGCATTCTCAGAAACTACTTTGTGATGATTGCATTCGACTCACAGAGTTGAACATTCCTATAGATAGAGCAGGTTGTAAACAATCTTTTTGTAGAATCTGCGATTGGAGATTTGGACTGCTTTGAGGCCTACTGTAGTAAAGGAAATAACTTCATCTAAAAACCAAACGGAAGCATTCACAGACAATTCTTAGTGATCATTGCATTGAACTAACAGAGCTGAACATTCCTTTAGATGGCGCAGTTTCCAAACACACTTTCTGTAGAATCTGCAAGTGGATATTTGGACTTCTCTGAGGATTTCGTTGGAAACGGGATAAACTTCCCAGAACTACACGGAAGCATTCTGAGAAACTTCTTTGTGATGTTTGCATTCAACTCACAGAGTTGAACCTTGCTTTCATAGTTCAGCTTTCAAACACTCTTTTTGTAGAATCTGCAAGTGGATATTTGGACCACTTTGTGGCCTTCCTTCGAAACGGGTATATCTTCACATCAAACCTAGACAGAAGCATTCTCAGAATGTTTCCTGTGATGACTGCATTCAACTCACAGAGGTGAACAATCCTGCTGATGGAGCAGTTTTGAAACTCTCTTTCTTTGGATTCTGCAAGTGGATATGTGGACCTCTGTGAAGATTTCGTTGGAAACGTGTTCATTTTCACAGAAAAACTAAACAGGAGCATTCTCAGAAACTGCTTTGTGATGTCTGTGTTCCACTTCAGGAATTGAACTTTCCTCTTGACAGAGCAGCTCTGAAACCCTCTTTTTCTAGAATCTGCAAGTGGACATTTGGAGGGCTTTGAGGCCTGTGGTGGAAAAGCAAAATCTTCACATAAAAACTAGATGGAAGCATTCTCAGAAACTACTTTGTGATGATTACATTCGACTCACAGAGTTGAACATTCCTATAGATAGAGCAGGTTGTAAACAATCTTTTTGTAGAATCTGCGATTGGAGATTCGGACTGCTTTGAGGCATACTGTAGTAAAGGAAATAACTTCATCTAAAAACCAAACGGAAGGATTCACAGAGAATTCTTAGTGATCATTGGATTGAACTAACAGAGCTGAACATTCCTTTAGATGGAGCAGTTTCCAAACACACTTTCTGTAGAATCTGCAAGTGGATATTTGGACCTCTCTGAGGATTTCGTTGGAAACGGGATAAACTTCCCAGAACTACACGGAAGCATTCTGAGAAACTTCTTTGTGATGTTTGCATTCAACTCACAGAGTTGAACCTTGCTTTCATAGTTCAGCTTTCAAACACTCTTTTTGTAGAATCTGCAAGTGGATATTTGGACCACTTTGTGGCCTTCCTTCGAAACGGGTATATCTTCACATCAAACCTAGACAGAAGCATTCTCAGAATGTTTCCTGTGATGACTGCATTCAACTCACAGAGGTGAACAATCCTGCTGATGGAGCAGTTTTGAAACTCTCTTTCTTTGGATTCTGCAAGTGGATATGTGGACCTCTGTGAAGATTTCGTTGGAAACGGGTTCATCTTCACAGAAAAACTAAACAGGAGCATTCTCAGAAACTGCTTTGTTATGTTTGTGTTCCACTTCAAGAATTGAACTTTCCTCTTGACAGAGCAGCTCTGAAACCCTCTTATTCTAGAATCGGCAAGTGGACATTTGGAGGGCTTTGAGGCCTGTGGTGGAAAAGGAAAATCTTCACATAAAAACTAGATGGAAGCATTCTCAGAAACTACTTTGTGATGATTGCATTCGACTCACAGAGTTGAACATTCCTATAGATAGAGCAGGTTGTAAACAATCTTTTTGTAGAATCTGCGATTGGAAATTTGGACTGCTTTGAGGCCTACTGTAGTAAAGGAAATAACTTCATCTAAAAACCAAACGGAAGCATTCACAGACAATTCTTAGTGATCATTGCATTGAACTAACAGAGCTGAACATTCCTTTAGATGGCGCAGTTTCCAAACACACTTTCTGTAGAATCTGCAAGTGGATATTTGGACCTCTGTGAGGATTTCGTTGGAAACGGGATAAACTTCCCAGAACTACAGGGAAGCATTCTGAGAAACTTCTTTGTGATGTTTGCATTCAACTCACAGAGTTGAACCTTGCTTTCATAGTTCAGCTTTCAAACACTCTTTTTGTAGAATCTGCAAGTGGATATTTGGACCACTTTGTGGCCTTCCTTCGAAACGGGTATATCTTCACATCACACCTAGACAGAAGCATTCTCAGAATGTTTCCTGTGATGACTGCATTCAACTCACAGAGGTGAACAATCCTGTTGATGGAGCACTTTTGAAACTCTCTTTCTTTGGATTCTGCAAGTTGATATGTGGACCTCTGTGAAGATTTCGTTGGAAACGGGTTCATCTTCACAGAAAAACTAAACAGAAGCATTCTCAGAAACTGCTTTGTGATGTTTGTGTTCCACTTCAAGAATTGAACTTTCCTCTTGACAGAGCAGCTCTGAAACCCTCTTATTCTAGAATCTGCAAGTGGACATTTGGAGGGCTTTGAGGCCTGTGGTGGAAAAGGAAAATCTTCACATAAAAACTAGATGGAAGCATTCTCAGAAACTACTTTGTGATGATTGCATTCGACTCACATAGTTGCATATTCCTATAGATAGAGCAGGTTGTAAACAATCTTTTTGTAGAATCTGCGATTGGAGATTTGGACTGCTTTGAGGCCTACTGTAGTAAAGGAAATAACTTCATCTAAAAACCAAACGGAAGCATTCACAGACAATTCTTAGTGATAATTGGATTGAACTAACAGAGCTGAACATTCCTTTAGATGGAGCAGTTTCCAAACACACTTTCTGTAGAATCTGCAAGTGGATATTTGGACTTCTCTGAGGATTTCTTTGGAAACGGGATAAACTTCCCAGAACTACACGGAAGCATTGTGAGAAACTTCTTTGTGATGTTTGCATTCAACTCACAGAGTTGAACCTTGCTTTCATAGTTCAGCTTTCAAACACTCTTTTTGTAGAATCTGCAAGTGGATATTTGGACCACTTTGTGGCCTTCCTTCGAAACGGGTATATCTTCACATCAAACCTAGACAGAAGCATTCTCAAAATGTTTCCTGTGATGACTGCATTCAACTCACAGAGGCGAACAATCCTGTTGATGGAGCAGTTTTGAAACTCTCTTTCTTTGGATTCTGCAAGTGGATATGTGGACCTCTGTGAAGATTTCGTTGGAAACGGGTTCATCTTCACAGAAAAATTAAACAGAAGCATTCTCAGAAACTGCTTTGTGATGTTTGTGTTCCACTTCAGGAATTGAACTTTCCTCTTGACAGAGCAGCTCTGAAACCCTCTTTTTCTAGAATCTGCAAGTGGACATTTGGAGGGCTTTGAGGCCTGTGGTGGAAAAGGAAAATCTTCACATAAAAACTAGATGGAAGCATTCTCAGAAACTACTTTGTGATGATTGCATTCGACTCACAGAGTTGAACATTCCTATAGATAGAGCAGGTTGTAAACAATCTTTTTGTAGAATCTGCGATTGGAGATTTGGACTGCTTTGAGGCCTACTGTAGTAAAGGAAATAACTTCATCTAAAAACCAAACGGAAGCATTCACAGACAATACTTTGTGATCATTGGATTGAACTAAGAGAGCTGAACATTCCTTTAGATGGCGCAGTTTCCCAACACACTTTCTGTAGAATATGCAAGTGGATATTGGGACTTCTCTGAGGATTTCGTTGGAAAAGGGATAAATTCCCAGAACTACACAGAAGCATTCTGAGAAACTTCTTTGTGATGTTTGCATTCAACTCACAGAGTTGAACCTTGTTTTCATAGTTCAGCTTTCAAACACTCTTTTTGTAGAATCTGCAAGTGGATATTTGGACCACTTTGTGGCCTTCCTTCGAAACGGGTATATCTTCACATCAAACCTAGACAGAAGCATTCTCAGAATGTTTCCTGTGATGACTGCATTCAACTCACAGAGGTGAACAATCCTGTTGATGGAGCACTTTTGAAACTCTCTTTCTTTGGATTCTGCAAGTTGATATGTGGACCTACTGTGAAGATTTCGTTGGAAACGGGTTCATCTTCACAGAAAAACTAAACAGAAGCATTCTCAGAAACTGCTTTGTGATGTTTGTGTTCCACTTCAGGAATTGAACTTTCCTCTTGACAGAATTCTAGAATCTGCAAGTGGACATTTGGAGGGCTTTGAGGCCTGTGGTGGAAAAGGAAAATCTTCACATAAAAACTAGATGGAAGCATTCTCAGAAACTACTTTGTGATGATTGCATTCGACTCACAGAGTTGAACATTCCTATAGATAGAGCAGGTTGTAAACAATCTTTTTGTAGAATCTGCGATTGGAGATTTGGACTGCTTTGAGGCCTACTGTAGTAAAGGAAATAACTTCATCTAAAAACCAAACGGAAGCATTCACAGACAATTCTTAGTGATCATTGGATTGAACTAACAGAGCTGAACATTCCTTTAGATGGCGCAGTTTCCAAACACACTTTCTGTAGAATCTGCAAGTGGATATTTGGACCTCTCTGAGGATTTCGTTGGAAACGGGATAAACTTCCCAGAACTACACGGAAGCATTCTGAGAAACTTCTTTGTGACGTTTGCATTCAACTCACAGAGTTGAACGTTGCTTTCATAGTTCAGGTTTCAAACACTCTTTTTGTAGAATCTGCAAGTGGATATTTGGACCACTTTGTGGCCTTCCTTCGAAACGGGTATATCTTCACATCAAACCTAGACAGAAGCATTCTCAGAATGTTTCCTGTGATGACTGCATTCAACTCACAGAGGTGAACAATCCTGCTGATGGAGCAGTTTTGAAACTCTCTTTCTTTGGATTCTGCAAGTGGATATGTGGACCTCTGTGAAGATTTCGTTGGAAACGGGTTCATCTTCACAGAAAAACTAAACAGAAGCATTCTCAGAAACTGCTTTGTGATGTTTGTGTTCCACTTCAAGAATTGAACTTTCCTCTTGACAGAGCAGCTCTGAAACCCTCTTTTTCTAGAATCTGCAAGTGGACATTTGGAGGGCATTGAGGCCTGTGGTGGAAAAGGAAAATCTTCACATAAAAACTAGATGGAAGCATTCTCAGAACCTACTTTGTGATGATTGCATTCGACTCAAAGAGTTGAACATTCCTATAGATAGAGCAGGTTGTAAACAATCTTTTTGTAGAATCTGCGATTGGAGATTTGGACTGCATTTAGGCCTACTGTAGTAAAGGAAATAACTTCATCTAAAAACCAAACGGAAGCATTCACAGACAATTCCTAGTGATCATTGCATTGAACTAACAGAGCTGAACATTCCTTTAGATGGCGCAGTTTCCAAACACACTTTCTGTAGAATCTGCAAGTGGATATTTGGACCTCTCTGAGGATTTCGTTGGAAACGGGATAAACTTCCCAGAACTACACGGAAGCATTCTGAGAAACTTCTTTGTGATGTTTGCATTCAACTCACAGAGTTGAACCTTGCTTTCATAGTTCAGCTTTCAAACACTCTTTTTGTAGAATCTGCAAGTGGATATTTGGACCACTTTGTGGCCTTCCTTCGAAACGGGTATATCTTCACATCAAACCTAGACAGAAGCATTCTCAGAATGTTTCCTGTGATGACTGCATTCAACTCACAGAGGTGAACAATCCTGCTGATGGAGCAGTTTTGAAACTCTCTTTCTTTGGATTCTGCAAGTGGATATGTGGACCTCTGTGAAGATTTCGTTGGAAACGGGTTCATCTTCACAGAAAAACTAAACAGGAGCATTCTCAGAAACTGCTTTGTGATGTTTGTGTTCCACTTCAAGAATTGAACTTTCCTCTTGACAGAGCAGCTCTGAAACCCTCTTTTTCTAGAATCTGCAAGTGGACATTTGGAGGGCTTTGAGGCCTGTGGTGGAAAAGGAAAATCTTCACATAAAAACTAGATGGAAGAATTCTCAGAAACTACTTTGTGATGATTGCATTCGACTCAAAGAGTTGAACATTCCTATAGATAGAGCAGGTTGTGAACAATCTTTTTGTAGAATCTGCGATTGGAGATTTGGACTGCTTTGAGGCCTACTGTAGTAAAGGAAATAACTTCATCTAAAAACCAAACGGAAGCATTCACAGACAATTCTTAGTGATCATTGCATTGAACTAACAGAGCTGAACATTCCTTTAGATGGCGCAGTTTCCAAACACACTTTCTGTAGAATCTGCAAGTGGAT
This sequence comes from Homo sapiens, assembly GCF_000001405.40. Lineage (NCBI taxonomy): Eukaryota > Metazoa > Chordata > Mammalia > Primates > Hominidae > Homo > Homo sapiens. Next base: position 53,443,570 of record NC_000011.10, read on the forward strand.
ATTTGGACCTCTCTGAGGATTTCGTTGGAAACGGGATAAACTTCCCAGAACTACACGGAAGCATTGTGAGAAACTTCTTTGTGATGTTTGCATTCAACTCACAGAGTTGAACCTTGCTTTCATAGTTCAGCTTTCAAACACTCTTTTTGTAGAATCTGCAAGTGGATATTTGGACCACTTTGTGGCCTTCCTTCGAAACGGGTATATCTTCACATCAAACCTAGACAGAAGCATTCTCAGAATGTTTCCTGTGATGACTGCATTCAACTCACAGAGGTGAACAATCCTGTTGATGGAGCAGTTTTGAAACTCTCTTTCTTTGGATTCTGCAAGTTGATATGTGGACCTCTGTGAAGATTTCGTTGGAAACGGGTTCATCTTCACAGAAAAACTAAACAGAAGCATTCTCAGAAACTGCTTTGTGATGTTTGTGTTCCACTTCAAGAATTGAACTTTCCTCTTGACAGAGCAGCTCTGAAACCCTCTTTTTCTAGAATCTGCAAGTGGACATTTGGAGGGCTTTGAGGCCTGTGGTGGAAAAGGAAAATCTTCACATAAAAACTAGATGGAAGCATTCTCAGAAACTACTTTGTGATGATTGCATTCGACTCACAGAGTTGAACATTCCTATAGATAGAGCAGGTTGTAAACAATCTTTTGTAGAATCTGCGATTGGAGATTTGGACTGCTTTGAGGCCTACTGTAGTAAAGGAAATAACTTCATCTAAAAACCAAACGGAAGCATTCACAGACAATTCTTAGTGATCATTGGATTGAACTAACAGAGCTGAACATTCCTTTAGATGGAGCAGTTTCCAAACACACTTTCTGTAGAATCTGCAAGTGGATATTTGGACTTCTCTGAGGATTTCGTTGGAAACGGGATAAACTTCCCAGAACTACACGGAAGCATTGTGAGAAACTTCTTTGTGATGTTTGCATTCAACTCACAGAGTTGAACCTTGCTTTCATAGTTCAGCTTTCAAACACTCTTTTTGTAGAATCTGCAAGTGGATATTTGGACCACTTTGTGGCCTTCCTTCGAAACGGGTATATCTTCACATCAAACCTAGACAGAAGCATTCTCAGAATGTTTCCTGTGATGACTGCATTCAACTCACAGAGGTGAACAATCCTGCTGATGGAGCAGTTTTGAAACTCTCCTTCTTTGGATTCTGCAAGTGGATATGTGGACCTCTGTGAAGATTTCGTTGGAAACGGGTTCATCTTCACAGAAAAACTAAACAGAAGCATTCTCAGAAACTGCTTTGTGATGTTTGTGTTCCACTTCAAGAATTGAACTTTCCTCTTGACAGAGCAGCTCTGAAACCCTCTTTTTCTAGAATCTGCAAGTGGACATTTGGAGGGCTTTGAGGCCTGTGGTGGAAAAGGAAAATCTTCACATAAAAACTTTATGGAAGCATTCTCAGAAACTATTTTGTGATGATTGCATTCGACTCACAGAGTTGAACATTCCTATAGATTGAGCAGGTTGTAAACAATCTTTTTGTAGAATCTGCGATTGGAGATTTGGACTGCTTTGAGGCCTACTGTAGTAAAGGAAATAACTTCATCTAAAAACCAAACGGAAGCATTCACAGACAATTCTTAGTGATCATTGGATTGAACTAACAGAGCTGAACATTCCTTTAGATGGAGCATTTTCCAAACACACTTTCTGTAGAATCTGCAAGTGGATATTTGGACTTCTCTGAGGATTTCGTTGGAAACGGGATAAACTTCCCAGAACTACACGGAGCATTGTGAGAAACTTCTTTGTGATGTTTGCATTCAACTCACAGAGTTGAACCTTGCTTTCATAGTTCAGCTTTCAAACACTCTTTTTGTAGAATCTGCAAGTGGATATTTGGACCACTTTGTGGCCTTCCTTCGAAACGGGTATATCTTCACATCAAACCTAGACAGAAGCATTCTCAGAATGTTTCCTGTGATGACTGCATTCAACTCACAGAGGTGAACAATCCTGCTGATGGAGCAGTTTTGAAACTCTCTTTCTTTGGATTCTGCAAGTGGATATGTGGACCTCTGTGAAGATTTCGTTGGAAACGGGTTCATCTTCACAGAAAAACTAAACAGGAGAATTCTCAGAAACTGCTTTGTGATGTTTGTGTTCCACTTCAGGAATTGAACTTTCCTCTTGACAGAGCAGCTCTGAAACCCTCTTTTTCAAGAATCTGCAAGTGGACATTTGGAGGGCTTTGAGGCCTGTGGTGGAAAAGGAAAATCTTCACATAAAAACTAGATGGAAGCATTCTCAGAAACTACTTTGTGATGATTGCATTCGACTCACAGAGTTGAACATTCCTATAGATAGAGCAGGTTGTAAACAATCTTTTTGTAGAATCTGCGATTGGAGATTTGGACTGCTTTGAGGCCTACTGTAGTAAAGGAAATAACTTCATCTAAAAACCAAACGGAAGCATTCACAGACAATTCTTAGTGATCATTGGATTGAACTAACAGAGTTGAACATTCCTTTAGATGGAGCAGTTTCCAAACACACTTTCTGTAGAATCTGCAAGTGGATATTTGGACTTCTCTGAGGATTTCGTTGGAAACGGGATAAACTTCCCAGAACTACACGGAAGCATTCTGAGAAACTTCTTTGTGATGTTTGCATTCAACTCACAGAGGTGAACCTTGCTTTCATAGTTCAACTTTCAAACACTCTTTTTGTAGAATCTGCAAGTGGATATTTGGACCACTTTGTGGCCTTCCTTCGAAACGGGTATATCTTCACATCAAACCTAGACAGAAGCATTCTCAGAGTGTTTCCTGTGATGACTGCATTCAACTCACAGAGGTGAACAATCCTGTTGATGGAGCACTTTTGAAACTCTCTTTCTTTGGATTCTGCAAGTTGATATGTGGACCTCTGTGAAGATTTCGTTGGAAACGGGTTCATCTTCACAGAAAATCTAAACAGAAGCATTCTCAGAAACTGCTTTGTGATGTTTGTGTTCCACTTCAAGAATTGAACTTTCCTCTTGACAGAGCAGCTTCTGAAACCCTCTTATTCTAGAATCTGCAAGTGGACATTTGGAGGGCTTTGAGGCCTGTGGTGGGAAAGGAAAATCTTCACATAAAAACTTTATGGAAGCATTCTCAGAAACTACTTTGTGATGATGGCTTTCGACTCACAGAGTTGAACATTCCTATAGATAGAGCAGGTTGTAAACAATCTTTTTGTAGAATCTGCGATTGGAGATTTGGACTGCTTTGAGGCCTACTGTAGTAAAGGAAATAACTTCATCTAAAAACCAAACGGAAGCATTCACAGACAATTCTTAGTGATCATTGGATTGAACTAACAGAGCTGAACATTCCTTTAGATGGAGCAGTTTCCAAACACACTTTCTGTAGAATCTGCAAGTGGATATTTGGACCTCTCTGAGGATTTCGTTGGAAACGGGATAAACTTCCTAGAACTACACGGAAGCATTCTGAGAAACTTCTTTGTGATGTTTGCATTCAACTCACAGAGTTGAACCTTGCTTTCATAGTTCAGCTTTCAAACACTCTTTTTGCAGAATCTGCAAGTGGATATTTGGACCACTTTGTGGCCTTCCTTCGAAACGGGTATATCTTCACATCAAACCTAGACAGAAGCATTCTCAGAATGTTTCCTGTGATGACTGCATTCAACTCACAGAGGTGAACAATCCTGTTGATGGAGCAGTTTTGAAACTCTCTTTCTTTGGATTCTGCAAGTTGATATGTGGACCTCTGTGAAGATTTCGTTGGAAACGGGTTCATCTTCACAGAAAAACTAAACAGAGGAAGCATTCTCGGAAACTGCTTTGTGATGTTTGTGTTCCACTTCAGGAATTGAACTTTCCTCTTGACAGAGCAGCTCTGAAACCCTCTTATTCTAGAATCTGCAAGTGGACATTTGGAGGGCTTTGAGGCCTGTGGTGGAAAAGGAAAATCTTCACATAAAAACTAGATGGAAGCATTCTCAGAAACTACTTTGTGATGATTGCATTCGACTCACAGAGTTGAACATTCCTATAGATAGAGCAGGTTGTAAACAATCTTTTTGTAGAATCTGCGATTGGAGATTTGGACTGCTTTGAGGCCTACTGTAGTAAAGGAAATAACTTCATCTAAAAACCAAACGGAAGCATTCACAGACAATTCTTAGTGATCATTGCATTGAACTAACAGAGCTGAACATTCCTTTAGATGGAGCAGTTTCCAAACACACTTTCTGTAGAATCTGCAAGTGGATATTTGGACTTCTCTGAGGATTTCGTTGGAAACGGGATAAACTTCCCAGAACTACACGGAAAGCATTCTGAGAAACTTCTTTGTGATGTTTGCATTCAACTCACAGGATTTGCACCTTGCTTTCATAGTTCAGCTTTCAAACACTCTTTTTGTAGAATCTGCAAGTGGATATTTGGACCACTTTGTGGCCTTCCTTCGAAAAGGGTATATCTTCACATCAAACCTAGACAGAAGCATTCTCAGAATGTTTCCTGTGATGACTGCATTCAACTCACAGAGGTGAACAATCCTGCTGATGGAGCAGTTTTGAAACTCCCTTTCTTTGGATTCTGCAAGTGGATATGTGGACCTCTGTGAAGATTTCGTTGGAAACGAGTTCATCTTCACAGAAAAACTAAACAGAAGCATTCTCAGAAACTGCTTTGTGATGTTTGTGTTCCACTTCAAGAATTGAACTTTCCTCTTGACAGAGCAGCTCTGAAACCCTCTTTTTCTAGAATCTGCAAGTGGACATTTGGAGGGATTTGAGGCCTGTGGTGGAAAAGGAAAATCTTCACATAAAAACTAGATGGAAGCATTCTCAGAAACTACTTTGTGATGATTGCATTCGACTCACAGAGTTGAACATTCCTATACATAGAGCAGGTTGTAAACAATCTTTTTGTAGAATCTGCGATTGGAGATTTGGACTGCTTTGAGGCCTACTGTAGTAAAGGAAATAACTTCATCTAAAAACCAAACGGAAGCATTCACAGACAATTCTTAGTGATCATTGGATTGAACTAACAGAGCTGAACATTCCTTTAGATGGCGCAGTTTCGAAACACACTTTCTGTAGAATCTGCAACTGGATATTTGGACCTCTCGGAGGATTTCGTTGGAAACGGGCTGAACTTCCCAGAAATACACGGAAGCATTCTGAGAAACTTCTTTGTGATGTTTGCATTCAACTCACAGAGTTGAACCTTGCTTTCATAGTTCAGCTTTCAAACACTCTTTTTGTAGAATCTGCAAGTGGATATTTGGACCACTTTGTGGCCTTCCTTCGAAACGGGTATATCTTCACATCAAACCTAGACAGAAGCATTCTCAGAATGTTTCCTGTGATGACTGCATTCAACTCACAGAGGTGAACAATCCTGTTGATGGAGCAGTTTTGAAACTCTCTTTCTTTGGATTCTGCAAGTGGATATGTGGACCTACTGTGAAGATTTCGTTGGAAACGGGTTCATCTTCACAGAAAAACTAAACAGGAGCATTCTCAGAAACTGCTTTGTGATGTTTGTGTTCCACTTCAGGAATTGAACTTTCCTCTTGACAGAGCAGCTCTGAAACCCTCTTTTTCTAGAATCTGCAAGTGGACATTTGGAGGGCTTTGAGGCCTGTGGTGGAAAAGGAAAATCTTCACATAAAAACTAGATGGAAGCATTCTCAGAAACTACTTTGTGATGATTGCATTCGACTCACAGAGTTGAACATTCCTATAGATAGAGCAGGTTGTAAACAATCTTTTTGTAGAATCTGCGATTGGAGATTTGGACTGCTTTGAGGCCTACTGTAGTAAAGGAAATAACTTCACCTAAAAACCAAACGGAAGCATTCACAGACAATTCTTAGTGATCATTGCATTCATCTAACAGAGCTGAACATTCCTTTAGATGGCGTAGTTTCCAAACACACTTTCTGTAGAATCTGCAAGTGCATATTTTGACCTCTCTGAGGATTTCGTTGGAAACGGGATAAACTTCCCAGAACTACACGGAAGCATTGTGAGAAACTTCTTTGTGAAGTTTGCATTCAACTCACAGAGTTGAACCTTGCTTTCATAGTTCAGCTTTCAAACACTCTTTTTGTAGAATCTGAAAGTGGATATTTGGACCACTTTGTGGCCTTCCTTTGAAACGGGTATATCTTCACATCAAACCTAGACAGAAACATTCTCAGAATGTTTCCTGTGATGACTGCATTCAACTCACAGAGGTGAACAATCCTGCTGATGGAGCAGTTTTGAAACTCTCTTTCTTTGGATTCTGCAAGTGGATATGTGGACCTCTGTGAAGATTTCGTTGGAAACGGGTTCATCTTCACAGAAAAACTAAACAGAAGCATTCTCAGAAACTGCTTTGTGATGTTTGTGTTCCACTTCAGGAATTGAACTTTCCTCTTGACAGACCAGCTCTGAAACCCTCTTTTTCTAGAATCTGCAAGTGGACATTTGGAGGGCTTTGAGGCCTGTGGTGGAAAAGGAAAATCTTCACATAAAAACTAGATGGAAGCATTCTCAGAAACTACTTTGTGATGATTGCATTCGACTCACAGAGTTGAACATTCCTATAGATAGAGCAGGTTGTAAACAATCTTTTTGTAGAATCTGCGATTGGAGATTTGGACTGCTTTGAGGCCTACTGTAGTAAATTAAATAACTTCATCTAAAAACCAAACGGAAGCATTCACAGACAATTCTTAGTGATCATTGGTTTGAACTAACAGAGCTGAACATTCCTTTAGATGGAGCAGTTTCCAAACCCACTTTCTGTAGAATCTGCAAGTGGATATTTGGACTTCTCTGAGGATTTCGTTGGAAACTGGATAAACTTCCCAGAACTACACGGAAGCATTCTGAGAAACTTCTTTGTGATGTTTGCATTCAACTCACAGAGTTGAACCTTGCTTTCATAGTTCAGCTTTCAAACACTCTTTTTGTAGAATCTGCAAGTGGATATTTGGACCACTTTGTGGCCTTCCTTCGAAACGGGTATATCTTCACATCAAACCTAGACAGAAGCATTCTCAGAATGTTTCCTGTGATGACTGCATTCAACTCACAGAGGTGAACAATCCTGTTGATGGAGCAGTTTTGAAACTCTCCTTCTTTGGATTCTGCAAGTGGATATGTGGACCTCTGTGAAGATTTCGTTGGAAACGGGTTCATCTTCACAGAAAAACTAAACAGAAGCATTCTCTGAAACTACTTTGTGATGTTTGTGTTCCACTTCAACAATTCAACTTTCCTCTTGACAGAGCAGCTCTGAAACCCTCTTTTTCTAGAATCTGCAAGTGGACATTTGGAGGGCTTTGAGGCCTGTGGTGGAAAAGGAAAATCTTCACATAAAAACTAGATGGAAGCATTCTCAGAAACTACTTTGTGATGATTGCATTCGACTCACAGAGTTGAACATTCCTATAGATAGTGCAGGTTGTAAACAATCTTTTTGTAGAATCTGCGATTGGAGATTTGGACTGCTTTGAGGCCTACTGTAGTAAAGGAAAGAACTTCATCTAAAAACCAAACGGAAGCATTCACAGACAATTCTTAGTGATCATTGGATTGAACTAACAGAGCTGAACATTCCTTTAGATGGCGCAGTTTCCAAACACACTTTCTGTAGAATCTGCAAGTGGATATTTGGACCTCTCTGAGGATTTCGTTGGAAACGGGATAAACTTCCCAGAACTACACGGAAGCATTCTGAGAAACTTCTTTGGATGTTTGCATTCACCTCACAGAGTTGAACCTTGCTTTCATAGTTCAGCTTTCAAACACTCTTTTTGTAGAATCTGCAAGTGGATATTTGGACCACTTTGTGGCCTTCCTTCGAAACGGGTATATCTTCACATCAAACCTAGACAGAAGCATTCTCAGAATGTTTCCTGTGATGACTGCATTCAACTCACAGAGGTGAACAATCCTGCTGATGGAGCAGTTTTGAAACTCTCTTTCTTTGGATTCTGCAAGTGGATATGTGGACCTCTGTGAAGATTTCGTTGGAAACGGGTTCATCTTCACAGAAAAACTAAACAGGAGCATTCTCAGAAACTGTTTTGTGATGTTTGTGTTCCACTTCAAGAATTGAACTTTCCTCTTGACAGAGCAGCTCTGAAACCCTCTTTTTCTAGAATCTGCAAGTGGACATTTGGAGGGCTTTGAGGCCTGTGGTGGAAAAGGAAAATCTTCACATAAAAACTAGATGGAAGCATTCTCAGAAACTACTTTGTGATGATTGCATTCGACTCACAGAGTTGAACATTCCTATAGATAGAGCAGGTTGTAAACAATCTTTTTGTAGAATCTGCGATTCGAGATTTGGAATGCTTTGAGGCCTACTGCAGTAAAGGAAATAACTTCATCTAAAAACCAAACGGAAGCATTCACAGACAATGCTTAGTGATCATTGGATTGAACTAACAGAGCTGAACATTCCTTTAGATGGAGCAGTTTCCAAACACACTTTCTGTAGAATCTGCCAGTGGATATTTTGACCTCTCTGAGGATTTCGTTGGAAACGGGATAAACTTCCCAGAACTACACGGAAGCATTGTGAGAAACTTCTTTGTGATGTTTGTATTCAACTCACAGGGTTGAACCTTGCTTTCATAGTTCAGCTTTCAAACACTCTTTTTGTAGAATCTGCAAGTGGATATTTGGACCACTTTGTGGCCTTCCTTCGAAACGGGTATATCTTCACATCAAACCTAGACAGAAGCATTCTCAGAATGTTTCCTGTGATGACTGCATTCAACTCACAGAGGTGAACAATCCTGTTGATGGAGCACTTTTGAAACTCTCTTTCTTTGGATTCTGCAAGTTGATATGTGGACCTCTGTGAAGATTTCGTTGGAAACGGGTTCATCTTCACAGAAAAACTAAACAGAAGCATTCTCAGAAACTGCTTTGTGATGTTTGTGTTCCACTTCAAGAATTGAACTTTCCTCTTGACAGAGCAGCTGTGAAACCCTCTTTTTCTAGAATCTGCAAGTGGACATTTGGAGGGCTTTGAGGCCTGTGGTGGAAAAGGAAAATCTTCACATAAAAACTAGATGGAAGCATTCTCAGAAACTACTTTGTGATGATTGCATTCGACTCACAGAGTTGAACATTCCTATAGATAGAGCAGGTTGTAAAAAATCTTTTTGTAGAATCTGCGATTGGAGATTTGGACTGCTTTGAGGCCTACTGTAGTAAAGGAAATAACTTCATCTAAAAACCTAACGGAAACATTCACAGACAATTCTTAGTGATCATTGGATTGAACTAACAGAGCTGAACATTCCTTTAGATGGAGCAGTTTCCAAACACACTTTCTGTAGAATCTGCAAGTGGATATTTGGACTTCTCTGAGGATTTCGTTGGAAACGGGATAAACTTCCCAGAACTACACGGAAGCATGCTGAGAAACTTCTTTGTGATGTTTGCATTCAACTCACAGAGTTGAACCTTGCTTTCATAGTTCAGCTTTCAAACACTCTTTTTGTAGAATCTGCAAGCGGATATTTGGACCACTTTGTGGCCTTCCTTCGAAACGGGTATATCTTCACATCAAACCTAGACAGAAGCATTCTCAGAATGTTTCCTGTGATGACTGCATTCAACTCACAGAGGTGAACAATCCTGCTGATGGAGCACTTTTGAAACTCTCTTTCTTTGGATTCTGCAAGTTGATATGTGGACCTCTGTGAAGATTTCGTTGGAAACGGGTTCATCTTCACAGAAAAAATAAAAAGAAGCATTCTCAGAAACTACTTTGTGATGTTTGTGTTCCACTTCAAGAATTGAACTTTCATCTTGACAGAGCAGCTCTGAAACCCTCTTTTTCTAGAATCTGCAAGTGGACATTTGGAGGGCTTTGAGGCCTGTGGTGGAAAAGGAAAATCTTCACATAAAAACTAGATGGAAGCATTCTCAGAAACTACTTTGTGATGATTGCATTCGACTCACAGAGTTGAACATTCCTATAGATAGAGCAGGTTGTAAACAATCTTTTTGTAGAATCTGCGATTGGAGATTTGGACTGCTTTGAGGCCTACTGTAGTAAAGGAAATAACTTCATCTAAAAACCAAACGGAAGCATTCACAGACAATTCTTAGTGATCATTGGATTGAACTAACAGGGCTGAACATTCCTTTAGATGGAGCAGTTTCCAAACCCACTTTCTGTAGAATCTGCAAGTGGATATTTGGACTTCTCTGAGGATTTCGTTGGAAACGGGATAAACTTCCCAGAACTACATGGAAGCATGCTGAGAAACTTCTTTGTGATGTTTGCATTCAACTCACAGAGTTGAACCTTGCTTTCATAGTTCAGCTTTCAAACACTCTTTTTGTAGAATCTGCAAGTGGATGTTTGGACCACTTTGTGGCCTTCCTTCGAAACGGGTATATCTTCACATCAAACCTAGACAGAAGCATTCTCAGAATGTTTCCTGTGATGACTGCATTCAACTCACAGAGGTGAACAATCCTGTTGATGGAGCAGTTTTGAAACTCTCTTTCTTTGGATTCTGCAAGTGGATATGTGGACCTCTGTGAAGATTTCGTTGGAAACGGGTTCATCTTCACAGAAAAACTAAACAGAAGCATTCTCAGAAACTGCTTTGTGATGTTTGTGTTCCACTTCAGGAATTGAACTTTCCTCTTGACAGAGCAGCTCTGCAACCCTCTTATTCTAGAATCTGCAAGTGGACATTTGGAGGGCTTTGAGGCCTGTGGTGGAAAAGGAAAATCTTCACATAAAAACTAGATGGAAGCATTCTCAGAAACTACTTTGTGATGATTGCATTCGACTCACAGAGTTGAACATTCCTATAGATAGAGCAGGTTGTAAACAATCTTTTTGTAGAATCTGCGATTGGAGATTTGGACTGCTTTGAGGCCTACTGTAGTAAAGGAAATAACTTCATCTAAAAACCAAACGGAAGCATTCACAGACAATTCTTAGTGATCATTGGATTGAACTAACAGAGCTGAACATTCCTTTAGATGGCGCAGTTTCCAAACACACTTTCTGTAGAATCTGCAAGTGGATATTTGGACTTCTCTGAGGATTTCGTTGGAAACGGGATAAACTTCCCAGAACTACACGGAAGCATTGTGAGAAACTTCTTTGTGATGTTTGCATTCAACTCACAGAGTTGAACCTTGCTTTCATAGTTCAGCTTTCAAACACTCTTTTTGTAGAATCTGCAAGTGGATATTTGGACCACTTTGTGGCCTTCCTTCGAAACGGGTATATCTTCACATCAAACCTAGACAGAAGCATTATCAGAATGTTTCCTGTGATGACTGCATTCAACTCACAGAGGTGAACAATCCCGTTGATGGAGCACTTTTGAAACTCTCTTTCTTTGGATTCTGCAAGTTGATATGTGGACCTCTGTGAAGATTTCGTTGGAAACCGGTTCATCTTCACAGAAAAACTAAACAGAAGCATTCTCAGAAACTACTTTGTGATGTTTGTGTTCCACTTCAAGAATTGAACTTTCCTCTTGACAGAGCAGCTCTGAAACCCTCTTTTTCTAGAATCTGCAAGTGGACATTTGGAAGGCTTTGAGGCCTGTGGTGGAAAAGGAAAATCTTCACATAAAAACTAGATGGAAGCATTCTCAGAAACTACTTTGTGATGATTGCATTCGACTCACAGAGTTGAACATTCCTATAGATAGAGCAGGTTGTAAACAATCTTTTTGTAGAATCTGCGAATGGAGATTTGGACTGCTTTGAGGCCTACTGTAGTAAAGGAAATAACTTCATCTAAAAACCAAACGGAAGCATTCACAGACAATTCTTAGTGATCATTGGATTGAACTAACAGACCTGAACATTCCTTTAGATGGAGCAGTTTCCAAACACACTTTCTGTAGAATCTGCAAGTGGATATTTGGACTTCTCTGAGGATTTCGTTGGAAACGGGATAAACTTCCCAGAACTACACGGAAGCATTGTGAGAAACTTCTTTGTGATGTTTGCATTCAACTCACAGAGTTGAACCTTGCTTTCATAGTTCAGCTTTCAAACACTCTTTTTGTAGAATCTGCAAGTGGATATTTGGACCACTTTGTGGCCTTCCTTCGAAACGGGTATATCTTCCCATCAAACCTAGACAGAAGCATTCTGAGAATGTTTCCTGTGATGACTTCATTCAACTCACAGAGGTGAACAATCCTGCTGATGGAGCAGTTTTGAAACTCTCTTTCTTTGGATTCTGCAAGTGGATATGTGGACCTCTGTGAAGATTTCGTTGGAAACGGGTTCATCTTCACAGAAAAACTAAACAGGAGCATTCTCAGAAACTACTTTGTGATGTTTGTGTTCCACTTCAAGAATTGAACTTTCCTCTTGACAGAGCAGCTCTGAAACCCTCTTTTTCTAGAATCTGCAAGTGGACATTTGGAGGGCTTTGAGGCCTGTGGTGGAAAAGGAAAATCTTCACATAAAAACTAGATGGAAGCATTCTCAGAAACTACTTTGTGATGATTGCATTCGACTCACAGAGTTGAACATTCCTATAGATAGAGCAGGTTGTAAACAATCTTTTTGTAGAATCTGCGATTGGAGATTTGGACTGCTTTGAGGCCTACTGTAGTAAAGGAAATAACTTCATCTAAAAACCAAACGGAAGCATTCACAGACAATTCTTAGTGATCATTGCATTGAACTAACAGAGCTGAACATTCCTTTAGATGGCGCAGTTTCCAAACACACTTTCTGTAGAATCTGCAAGTGGATATTTGGACTTCTCTGAGGATTTCGTTGGAAACGGGATAAACTTCCCAGAACTACACGGGAAGCATTCTGAGAAACTTCTTTGGATGTTTACATTCAACTCACAGAGTTGAACCTTGCTTTCATAGTTCAGCTTTCAAACACTCTTTTTGTAGAATCTGCAAGTGGATATTTGGACCACTTTGTGGCCTTCCTTCGAAACGGGTATATCTTCACATCAAACCTAGACAGAAGCATTCTCAGAATGTTTCCTGTGATGACTGCATTCAACTCACAGAGGTGAACAATCCTGCTGATGGAGCAGTTTTGAAACTCTCTTTCTTTGGATTCTGCAAGTGGATATGTGGACCTCTGTGAAGATTTCGTTGGAAACGGTTTCATCTTCACAGAAAAACTAAACAGGAGCATTCTCAGAAACTGCTTTGTGATGTTTGTGTTCCACTTCAAGAATTGAACTTTCCTCTTGACAGAGCAGCTCTGAAAACCTCTTTTTCTAGAATCTGCAAGTGGACATTTGGAGGGCTTTGAGGCCTGTGGTGGAAAAGGAAAATCTTCACATAAAAACTAGATGGAAGCATTCTCAGAAACTACTTTGTGATGATTGCATTCGACTCACAGAGTTGAACATTCCTATAGATAGAGCAGGTTGTAAACAATCTTTTTGTAGAATCTGCGATTGGAGATTTGGACTGCTTTGAGGCCTACTGTAGTAAAGGAAATAACTTCATCTAAAAACGAAACGGAAGCATTCACAGACAATTCTTAGTGATCATTGGATTGAACTAACAGAGCTGAACATTCCTTTAGATGGAGCAGTTTCCAAACCCACTTTCTGTAGAATCTGCAAGTGGATATTTGGACTTCTCTGAGGATTTCGTTGGAAACGGGATAAACTTCCCAGAACTACACGGAAGCATTCTGAGAAACTTCTTTGTGATGTTTGCATTCAACTCACAGAGTTGAACCTTGCTTTCATAGTTCAGCTTTCAAACACTCTTTTTGTAGAATCTGCAAGTGGATATTTGGACCACTTTGTGGCCTTCCTTCGAAACGGGTATATCTTCACATCAAACCTAGACAGAAGCATTCTCAGAATGTTTCCTGTGATGACTGCATTCAACTCACAGAGGTGAACAATCCTGCTGATGGAGCAGTTTTGAAACTCTCTTTCTTTGGATTCTGCAAGTGGATATGTGGACCTCTGTGAAGATTTCGTTGGAAACGGGTTCATCTTCACAGAAAAACTAAACAGGAGCATTCTCAGAAACTGCTTTGTTATGTTTGTGTTCCACTTCAGGAATTGAACTTTCCTCTTGACAGAGCAGCTCTGAAACCCTCTTATTCTAGAATCTGCAAGTGGACATTTGGAGGGCTTTGAGGCCTGTGGTGGAAAAGGAAAATCTTCACATAAAAACTAGATGGAAGCATTCTCAGAAACTACTTTGTGATGATTGCATTCGACTCACAGAGTTGAACATTCCTATAGATAGAGCAGGTTGTAAACAATCTTTTTGTAGAATCTGCGATTGGAGATTTGGACTGCTTTGAGGCCTACTGTAGTAAAGGAAATAACTTCATCTAAAAACCAAACGGAAGCATTCACAGACAATTCTTAGTGATCATTGGATTGAACTAACAGAGCTGAACATTCCTTTAGATGGAGCATTTTCCAAACGCACTTTCTGTAGAATCTGCAAGTGGATATTTGGACTTCTCTGAGGATTTCGTTGGAAACGGGATAAACTTCCCAGAACTACACGGAAGCATTCTGAGAAACATCTTTGTGATGTTTGCATTCAACTCACAGAGTTGAATCTTGCTTTCATAGTTCAGCTTTCAAACACTCTTTTTGTAGAATCTGCAAGTGGATATTTGGACCACTTTGTGGCCTTCCTTCGAAACGGGTATATCTTCACATCAAACCTAGACAGAAGCATTCGCAGAATGTTTCCTGTGATGACTGCATTCATCTCACAGAGGTGAACAATCCTGCTGATAGAGCAGTTTTGAAACTCTCTTTCTTTGGATTCTGCAAGTGGATATGTGGACCTCTGTGAAGATTTCGTTGGAAACGGGTTCATCTTCACAGAAAAACTAAACAGGAGCATTCTCAGAAACTGCTTTGTGATGTTTGTGTTCCACTTCAAGAATTGAACTTTCCTCTTGACAGAGCAGCTCTGAAACCCTCTTTTTCTAGAATCTGCAAGTGGACATTTGGAGGGCTTTGAGGCCTGTGGTGGAAAAGGAAAATCTTCACATAAAAACTAGATGGAAGCATTCTCAGAAACTACTTTGTGATGATTGCATTCGACTCACAGAGTTGAACATTCCTATAGATAGAGCAGGTTGTAAACAGTCTTCTTGTAGAATCTGCGATTGGAGATTTGGACTGCTTTGAGGCCTACTGTAGTAAAGGAAATAACTTCATCTAAAAACCAAACGGAAACATTCACAGACAATTCTTAGTGATCATTGGATTGAACTAACAGAGCTGAACATTCCTTTAGATGGAGCAGTTTCCAAACCCACTTTCTGTAGAATCTGCAAGTGGATATTTGGACTTCTCTGAGGATTTCGTTGGAAACGGGATAAACTTCCCAGAACTACAGGGAAGCATTCTGAGAAACTTCTTTGGATGTTTGCATTCACCTCACAGAGTTGAACCTTGCTTTCATAGTTCAGCTTTCAAACACTCTTTTTGTAGAATCTGCAAGTGGATATTTGGACCACTTTGTGGCCTTCCTTCGAAACGGGTATATCTTCACATCAAACCTAGACAGAAGCATTCTCAGAATGTTTCCTGTGATGACTGCATTCAACTCACAGAGGTGAACAATCCTGCTGATGGAGCAGTTTTGAAACTCTCTTTCTTTGGATTCTGCAAGTGGATATGTGGACCTCTGTGAAGATTTCGTTGGAAACGGGTTCATCTTCACAGAAAAACTAAACAGGAGCATTCTCAGAAACTGCTTTGTGATGTTTGTGTTCCACTTCAGGAATTGAACTTTCCTCTTGACAGAGCAGCTCTAAAACCCTCTTATTCTAGAATCTGCAAGTGGACATTTGGAGGGCTTTGAGGCCTGTGGTGGAAAAGGAAAATCTTCACATAAAAACTAGATGGAAGCATTCTCAGAAACTACTTTGTGATGATTGCATTCGACTCACAGAGTTGAACATTCCTATAGATAGAGCAGGTTGTAAACAATCTTTTTGTAGAATCTGCGATTGGAGATTTGGACTGCTTTGAGGCCTACTGTAGTAAAGGAAATAACTTCATCTAAAAACCAAACGGAAGCATTCACAGACAATTCTTAGTGATCATTGGATTGAACTAACAGAGCTGAACATTCCTTTAGATGGAGCAGTTTCCAAACACACTTTCTGCAGAATCTGCAAGTGGATATTTGGACTTCTCTGAGGATTTCGTTGGAAATGGGATAAACTTCCCAGAACTACACGGAAGCATTGTGAGAAACTTCTTTGTGATGTTTGCATTCAACTCACAGAGTTGAACCTTGCTTTCATAGTTCAGCTTTCAAACACTCTTTTTGTAGAATCTGCAAGTGGATATTTGGACCACTTTGTGGCCTTCCTTCGAAACGGGTATATCTTCACATCAAACCTAGACAGAAGCATTCTCAGAATGTTTCCTGTGATGACTGCATTCAACTCACAGAGGTGAACAATCCTGCTGATGGAGCAGTTTTGAAACTCTCTTTCTTTGGATTCTGCAAGTGGATATGTGGACCTCTGTGAAGATTTCGTTGGAAACGGGTTTATCTTCACAGAAAAACTAAACAGAAGCATTCTCAGAAACTGCTTTGTGATGTTTGTGTTCCACTTCAAGAATTGAACTTTCCTCTTGACAGAGCAGCTCTGAAACCCTCTTTTTCTAGAATCTGCAAGTGGACATTTGGAGGGCTTTGAGGCCTGTGGTGGAAAAGGAAAATCTTCACATAAAAACTAGATGGAGAGCATTCTCAGAAACTACTTTGTGATGATTGCATTCGACTCACAGAGTTGAACATTCCTATAGATAGAGCAGGTTGTAAACAATCTTTTTGTAGAATCTGCGATTGGAGATTTGGACTGCTTTGAAGCCTACTGTAGTAAAGGAAATAACTTCATCTAAAAACCAAACGGAGCATTCACAGACAATTCTTAGTGATCATTGCATTGAACTAACAGAGCTGAACATTCCTTTAGATGGCGCAGTTTCCAAACACACTTTCTGTGGAATCTGCAAGTGGATATTTGGACCTCTCTGAGGATTTCGTTGGAAAGGGGATAAACTTCCCAGAACTACACGGAAGCATTCTGAGAAACTTCTTTGTGATGTTTGCATTCAACTCACAGAGTTGAACCTTGCTTTCATAGTTCAGCTTTCAAACACTCTTTTTGTAGAATCTGCAAGTGGATATTTGGACCACTTTCTGGCCTTCCTTCGAAACGGGTATATCTTCACATCAAACCTAGACAGAAGCATTCTCAGAATGTTTCCTGTGATGACTGCATTCAACTCACAGAGGTGAACAATCCTGCTGATGGAGCAGTTTTGAAACTCTCTTTCTTTGGATTCTGCAAGTGGATATGTGGACCTCTGTGAAGATTTCGTTGGAAACGGGTTCATCTTCACAGAAAAACTAAACAGGAGCATTCTCAGAAACTGCTTTGTGATGTTTGTGTTCCACTTCAAGAATTGAACTTTCCTCTTGATAGAGGAGCTCTGAAACCCTCTTTTTCTAGAATCTGCAAGTGGACATTTGGAGGGCTTTGAGGCCTGTGGTGGAAAAGGAAAATCTTCACATAAAAACTGGATGGAAGCATTCTCAAAACTACTTTGTGATGATTGCATTCGACTGACAGAGTTGAACATTCCTATAGAGAGAGCAGGTTGTAAACAATCTTTTTGTAGAATCTGCGATTAGAGATTTGGACTGCTTTGAGGCCTACTGTAGTAAAGGAAATAACTTCATCTAAAAACCAAACGGAAGCATTCACAGACAATTCTTAGTGATCATTGCATTGAACTAACAGAGCTGGGCATTCCTTTAGATGGCGCAGTTTCCAAACACACTTTCTGTAGAATCTGCAAGTGGATATTTGGACCTCTCTGAGGATTTCGTTGGAAAAGGGATAAACTTCCCAGAACTACACGGAAGCATTCTGAGAAACTTCTTTGTGATGTTTGCATTCAACTCACAGAGTTGAACCTTGCTTTCATAGTCCAGCTTTCATACACTCTTTTTGTAGAATCTGCAAGTGGATATTTGGACCACTTTGTGGCCTTCCTTCGAAACGGGTATATCTTCACATCAAACCTAGACAGAAGCATTCTCAGAATGTTTGCCTGTGATGACTGCATTCAACTCAGAGAGGTGAACAATCCTGTTGATGGAGCAGTTTTGAAACTCTCTTTCTTTGGATTCTGCAAGTGGATATGTGGACCTCTGTGAAGATTTCGTTGGAAACGGGTTCATCTTCACAGAAAAACTAAACAGGAGCATTCTCAGACACTGCTTTGTGATGTTTGTGTTCCACTTAAAGAATTGAACTTTCCTCTTGACAGAGCAGCTCTGAAACCCTCTTTTTCTAGAATATGCAAGTGGACATTTGGAGGGCTTTGAGGCCTGTGGTGGAAAAGGAAAATCTTCACATAAAAACTAGATGGAAGCATTCTCAGAAACTACTTTGTGATGATTGCATTCGACTCACAGAGTTGAACATTCCTATAGATAGAGCAGGTTGTAAACAATCTTTTTGTAGAATCTGCGATTGGAGATTTGGACTGCTTTGAGGCCTACTGTAGTAAAGGAAATAACTTCATCTAAAAACCAAACGGAAGCATTCACAGACAATTCTTAGTGATCATTGCATTGAACTAACAGAGCTGAACATTGCTTTAGACGGCGCAGTTTCCAAACACACTTTCTGTAGAATCTGCAAGTGGATATTTGGACTTCTCTGAGGATTTCGTTGGAAACGGGATAAACTTCCCAGAACTACACGGAAGCATTCTGAGAAACTTCTTTGTGATGTTTGCATTCAACTCACAGAGTTGAACCTTGCTTTCATAGTTCAGCTTTCAAACACTCTTTTTGTAGAATCTGCAAGTGGATATTTGGACCACTTTGTGGCCTTCCTTCGAAACGGGTATATCTTCACATCAAACCTAGACAGAAGCATTCTCAGAATGTTTCCTGTGATGACTGCATTCAACTCACAGAGGTGAACAATCCTGCTGATGGAGCAGTTTTGAAACTCTCTTTCTTTGGATTCTGCAAGTGGATATGTGGACCTCTGTGTAGATTTCGTTGGAAACGGGTTCATCTTCACAGAAAAACTAAACAGAAGCATTCTCAGAAACTGCTTTGTGATGTTTGTGTTCCACTTCAAGAATTGAACTTTCCTCTTGACAGAGCAGCTCTGAAACCCTCTTTTTCTAGAATCTGCAAGTGGACATTTGGAGGGCTTTGAGGCCTGTGGTGGAAAAGGAAAATCTTCACATAAAAACTAGATGGAAGCATTCTCAGAAGCTACTTTGTGATGATTGCATTCGACTCACAGAGTTGAACATTCCTATAGATAGAGCAGGTTGTAAACAATCTTTTTGTAGAATCTGCGATTGGAGATTTGGACTGCTTTGAGGCCTACTGTAGTAAAGGAAATAACTTCATCTAAAAACCAAACGGAAGCATTCCCAGATAATTCTTAGTGATCATTGCATTGAACTAACAGAGCTGAACATTCCTTTAGATGGAGCAGTTTCCAAACACACTTTCTGTAGAATCTGCAAGTGGATATTTGGACCTCTCTGAGGATTTCGTTGGAAACGGGATAAACTTCCCAGAACTACACGGAAGCATTCTGAGAAACTTCTTTGTGAAGTTTGCATTCAACACACAGAGTTGAACCTTGCTTTCATAGTTCAGCTTTCAAACACTCTTTTTGTAGAATCTGCAAGTGGATATTTTGACCATTTGTGGTCTTCCTTCGAAACGGGTATATCTTCACATCAAACCTAGACAGAAGCATTCTCAGAATGTTTCCTGTGATGACTGCATTCAACTCACAGAGGTGAACAATCCTGCTGATGGAGCAGTTTTGAAACTCTCTTTCTTTGGATTCTGCAAGTGGATATGTGGACCTCTGTGAAGATTTCGTTGGAAACGGGTTCATCTTCACAGAAAAAATAACAGAAGCATTCTCAGAAACTGCTTTGTGATGTTTGTGTTCCACTTCAAGAATTGAACATTCCTCTTGACAGAGCAGCTCTGAAACCCTCTTTTTCTAGAATCTGCAGGTGGACATTTGGAGGGCTTTGAGGCCTGTGGTGGAAAAGGAAAATCTTCACATAAAAACTAGATGGAAGCATTCTCAGAAACTACTTTGTGATGATTGCATTCGACTCACAGAGTTGAACATTCCTATAGATAGAGCAGGTTGTAAACAATCTTTTTGTAGAATCTGCGATTGGAGATTTGGACTGCTTTGAGGCCTACTGTAGTAAAGGAAATAACTTCATCTAAAAACCAAACGGAAGCATTCACAGACAATTCTTAGTGATCATTGGATTGAACTAACAGAGCTGAACATTCCTTTAGATGGAGCAGTTTCCAAACCCACTTTCTGTAGAATCTGCAAGTGGATATTTGGACCTCTCTGAGGATTTTGTTGGAAACGGGATATACTTCCCAGAAATACACGGAAGCATTGTGAGAATCTTCTTTGTGATGTTTGCATTCACCTCACAGAGTTGAACCTTGCTTTCATAGTTCAGCTTTCAAACACTCTTTTTGTGGAATCTGCAAGTGGATATTTGGACCACTTTGTGGCCTTCCTTCGAAACGGGTATATCTTCACATCAAACCTAGACAGAAGCATTCTCAGAATGTTTCCTGTGATGACTGCATTCAACTCACAGAGGTGAACAATCCTGCTGATGGAGCAGTTTTGAAACTCTCATTCTTTGGATTCTGCAAGTGGATATGTGGACCTCTGTGAACATTTCGTTGGAAACGGGTTCATCTTCACAGAAAAACTAAAAAGGAGCATTCTCAGAAACTGCTTTGTGATGTTTGTGTTCCACTTCAAGAACTGAACTTTCCTCTTGACAGAGCAGCTCTGAAACCCTCTTTTTCTAGAATCTGCAAGTGGACATTTGGAGGGCTTTGAGGCCTGTGGTGGAAAAGGAAAATCTTCACATAAAAACTAGATGGAAGCATTCTCAGAAACTACTTTGTGATGATTGCATTCGACTCACAGAGTTGAACATTCCTATAGATAGAGCAGGTTGTAAGCAATCTTTTTGTAGAATCTGCGATTGGAGATTTGGACTGCTTTGAGGCCTACTGTAGTAAAGGAAATAACTTCATCTAAAATCCAAACGGAAGCATTCACAGACAATTCTTAGTGATCATTGCATTGAACTAACAGAGCTGAACATTCCTTTAGATGGAGCATTTTCCAAACACACTTTCTGTAGAATCTGCAAGTGGATATTTGGACTTCTCTGAGGATTTCGTTGGAAACGGGATATACTTCCCAGAACTACACGGAAGCATTCTGAGAAACTTCTTTGTGATGTTTGCATTCAACTCACAGAGTTGAACCTTGCTTTCATAGTTCAGCTTTCAAACACTCTTTTTGTAGAATCTGCAAGTGGATATTTGGACCACTTTGTGGCCTTCCTTCGAAACGGGTATATCTTCACATCAAACCTAGACAGAAGCATTCTCAGAATGTTTCCTGTGATGACTGCATTCAACTCACAGAGGTGAACAATCCTGTTGATGGAGCCGTTTTGAAACTCCCTTTCTTTTGATTCTGCAAGTGGATATGTGGACCTCTGTGAAGATTTCGTTGGAAACGGGTTCATCTTCACAGAAAAATTAACAGGAGCATTCTCAGAAACTGCTTTGTGATGTTTGTGTTCCACTTCAAGAATTGAACTTTCCTCTTGACAGAGCAGCTCTGAAACCCTCTTTTTCTAGAATCTGCAAGTGGACATTTGGAGGGCTTTGAGGCCTGTGGTGGAAAAGGAAAATCTTCACATAAAAACTAGATGGAAGCATTCTCAGAAACTACTTTGTGATGATTGCATTCGACTCACAGAGTTGAACATTCCTATAGATAGAGCAGGTTGTAAACAATCTTTTTGTAGAATCTGCGATTGGAGATTTGGACTGCTTTGAGGCCTACTGTAGTAAAGGAAATAACTTCATCTAAAAACCAAACGGAAGCATTCACAGACAATTCTTAGTGATCATTGCATTGAACTAACAGAGCTGAACATTCCTTTAGATGGCGCAGTTTCCAAACACACTTTCTGTAGAATCTGCAAGTGGATATTTGGACCTCTCTGAGGATTTCGTTGGAAACGGGATAAACTTCCCAGAACTACACGGAAGCATTGTGAGAAACTTCTTTGTGATGTTTGCATTCAACTCACAGTGTTGAACCTTGCTTTCATAGTTCAGCTTTCAAACACTCTTTTTGTAGAATCTGCAAGTGGATATTTGGACCACTTTGTGGCCTTCCTTCGAAACGGGTATATCTTCACATCAAACCTAGACAGAAGCATTCTCAGAATGTTTCCTGTGATGACTGCATTCAACTCACAGAGGTGAACAATCCTGTTGATGGAGCACTTTTGAAACTCTCTTTCTTTGGATTCTGCAAGTTGATATGTGGACCTCTGTGAAGATTTCGTTGGAAACGGGTTCATCTTCACAGAAAAACTAAACAGAAGCATTCTCAGAAACTGCTTTGTGATGTTTGTGTTCCACTTCAAGAATTGAACTTTCCTCTTGACAGAGCAGCTCTGAAACCCTCTTTTTCTAGAATCTGCAAGTGGACATTTGGAGGGCTTTTAGGCCTGTGGTGGAAAAGGAAAATCTTCACATAAAAACTAGATGGAAGCATTCTCAGAAACTACTTTGTGATGATTGCATTCGACTCACAGAGTTGAACATTCCTATAGATAGAGCAGGTTGTAAACAATCTTTTTGTAGAATCTGCGATTGGAGATTTGGACTGCTTTGAGGCCTACTGTAGTAAAGGAAATAACTTCATCTAAAAACCAAACGGAAGCATTCACAGACAATTCTTAGTGATCATTGCATTGAACTAACAGAGCTGAACATTCCTTTAGATGGCGCAGTTTCCAAACACACTTTCTGTAGAATCTGCAAGTGGATATTTGGACCTCTCTGAGGATTTCGTTGGAAACGGGATAAACTTCCCAGAACTACACGGAAGCATTCTGAGAAACTTCTTTGTGATGTTTGCATTCAACTCACAGAGTTGAACCTTGCTTTCATAGTTCAGCTTTCAAACACTCTTTTTGTAGAATCTGCAAGTGGATATTTGGACCACTTTGTGGCCTTCCTTCGAAACGGGTATATCTTCACATCAAACCTAGACAGAAGCATTCTCAGAATGTTTCCTGTGATGACTGCATTCAACTCACAGAGGTGAACAATCCTGTTGATGGAGCAGTTTTGAAACTCTCTTTCTTTGGATTCTGCAAGTTGATATGTGGACCTCTGTGAAGATTTCGTTGGAAACGGGTTCATCTTCACAGAAAAACTAAACAGAAGCATTCTCAGAAACTGCTTTGTGATATTTGTGTTCCACTTCAGGAATTGAACTTTCCTCTTGACAGAGCAGCTCTGAAACCCTCTTATTCTAGAATCTGCAAGTGGACATTTGGAGGGCTTTGAGGCCTGTGGTGGAAAAGGAAAATCTTCACATAAAAACTAGATGGAAGCATTCTCAGAAACTACTGTATGATGATTGCATTCGACTCACAGAGTTGAACATTCCCATAGATAGAGCAGGTTGTAAACAATCTTTTTGTAGAATCTGCGATTGGAGATTTGGACTGCATTGAGGCATACTGTAGTAAAGGAAATAACTTCATCTAAAAACCAAACGGAAGCATTCACAGACAATTCTTAGTGATCATTGCATTGAACTAACAGAGCTGAACATTCCTTTAGATGGCGCAGGTTCCAAACACACTTTCTGTAGAATCTGCAAGTGGATATTTGGACCTCTCTGAGGATTTCGTTGGAAACGGGATAAACTTCCCAGAACTACAAGGAAGCATTCTGAGAAACTTCTTTGTGATGTTTGCATTCAACTCACAGAGGGGAACCTTGCTTTCATAGTTCAGCTTTCAAACACTCTTTTTGTAGAATCTGCAAGTGGATATTTGGACCACTTTGTGGCCTTCCTTCGAAACGGGTATATCTTCACATCAAACCTAGACAGAAGCATTCTCAGAATGTTTCCTGTGATGACTGCATTCAACTCACAGAGGTGAACAATCCTGCTGATGGAGCAGTTTTGAAACTCTCTTTCTTTGGATTCTGCAAGTGGATATGTGGACTTCTGTGAAGATTTCGTTGGAAACGGGTTCATCTTCACAGAAAAACTAAACAGAAGCATTCTCAGAAACTGCTGTGTGATGTTTGTGTTCCACTTCAGGAATTGAACTTTCCTCTTGACAGAGCAGCTCTGAAACCCTCTTATTCTAGAATCTGCAAGTGGACATTTGGAGGGCTTTGAGGCCTGAGGTGGAAAAGGAAAATCTTCACATAAAAACTAGATGGAAGCATTCTCAGAAACTACATTGTGATGATTGCATTCGACTCACAGAGTTGAACATTCCTATAGATAGAGCAGGTTGTAAACAATCTTTTTGTATAATCTGCGATTGGAGATTTGGACTGCTTTGAGGCCTACTGTAGTAAAGGAAATAAATTCATCTAAAAACCAAACGGAAGCATTCACAGACAATTCTTAGTGATCATTGCATTGAACTAACAGAGCTGAACATTCCTTTAGATGGCGCAGTTTCCAAACACACTTTCTGTAGAATCTGCAAGTGGATATTTGGACTTCTCTGAGGATTTCGTTGGAAACGGGATAAACTTCCCAGAACTACACGGAAGCATTCTGAGAAACTTCTTTGTGATGTTTGCATTCAACTCACAGAGTTGAACCTTGCTTTCATAGTTCAGCTTTCAAACACTCTTTTTGTAGAATCTGCAAGTGGATATTTGGACCACTTTGTGGCCTTCCTTCGAAACGGGTATATCTTCACATCAAACCTAGACAGAAGCATTCTCAGAATGTTTCCTGTGATGACTGCATTCAACTCACAGAGGTGAACAATCCTGCTGATGGAGCAGTTTTGAAACTCTCTTTCTTTGGATTCTGGAAGTGGATATGTGGACCTCTGTGAAGATTTCGTTGGAAACGGGTTCATCTTCACAGAAAAACTAAACAGGAGCATTCTCAGAAACTGCTTTGTGATGTTTGTGTTCCACTTCAAGAATTGAACTTTCCTCTTGACAGAGCAGCTCTGAAACCCTCTTTTTCTAGAATCTGCAAGTGGACATTTGGAGGGCTTTGAGGCCTGTGGTGGAAAAGGAAAATCTTCCCATAAAAACTAGATGGAAGCATTCTCAGAAACTACTTTGTGATGATGGCTTTCGACTCACAGAGTTGAACATTCCTATAGATAGAGCAGGTTGTAAACAATCTTTTTGTAGAATCTGCGATTGGAGATTTGGACTGCTTTGAGGCCTACTGTAGTAAAGGAAATAACTTCATCTAAAAACCAAACGGAAGCATTCACAGACAATTCTTAGTGATCATTGCATTGAACTAACAGAGCTGAACATTCCTTTAGATGGCGCAGTTTCCAAACACACTTTCTGTAGAATCTGCAAGTGGATATTTGGACCTCTCTGAGGATTTCGTTGGAAACGGGATAAACTTCCCAGAACTACACGGAAGCATTCTGAGAAACTTCTTTGTGATGTTTGCATTCAACTCACAGAGTTGAACCTTGCTTTCATAGTCCAGCTTTCAAACACTCTTTTTGTAGAATCTGCAAGTGGATATTTGGACCACTTTGTGGCCTTCCTTCGAAACGGGTATATCTTCACATCAAACCTAGACAGAAGCATTCTCAGAATGTTTCCTGTGATGACTGCATTCAACTCACAGAGGTGAACAATCCTGTTGATGGAGCAGTTTTGAAACTCTCTTTCTTTGGATTCTGCAAGTTGATATGGGGACCTCTCTGAAGATTTCGTTGGAAACGGGTTCATCTTCACAGAAAAACTAAACAGAAGCATTCTCAGAAACTGCTTTGTGATGTTTGTGTTCCACTTCAAGAATTGAACTTTCCTCTTGACAGAGCAGCTCTGAAACCCTCTTTTTCTAGAATCTGCAAGTGGACATTTGGAGGGCTTTGAGGCCTGTGGTGGAAAAGGAAAATCTTCACATAAAAACTAGATGGAAGCATTCTCAGAAACTACTTTGTGATGATTGCATTCGACTCACAGAGTTGAACATTCCTATAGATAGAGAAGGTTGTAAACAATCTTTTTGTAGAATCTGCGATTGGAGATTTGGACTGCTTTGAGGCCTACTGTAGTAAAGGAAATAACTTCATCTAAAAACCAAACGGAAGCATTCACAGACAATTCTTAGTGATCATTGCATTGAACTAACAGAGCTGAACATTCCTTTAGATGGAGCAGTTTCCAAACACACTTTCTGTAGAATCTGCAAGTGGATATTTGGACTTCTCTGAGGATTTCGTTGGAAACGGGATAAACTTCCCAGAACTACACGGAAGCATTCTGAGAAACTTCTTTGTGATGTTTGCATTCAACTCACAGAGTTGAACCTTGCTTTCATAGTTCAGCTTTCAAACACTCTTTTTGTAGAATCTGCAAGTGGATATTTGGACCACTTTCTGGCCTTCCTTCGAAACGGGTATATCTTCACATCAAACCTAGACAGAAGCATTCTCAGAATGTTTCCTGTGATGACTGCATTCAACTAGCAGAGGTGAACAATCCTGTTGATGGAGCACTTTTGAAACTCTCTTTCTTTGGATTCTGCAAGTTGATATGTGGATCTCTGTGAAGATTTCGTTGGAAACGGGTTCATCTTCACAGAAAAACTAAACAGGAGCCTTCTCAGAAACTGCTTTGTGATGTTTGTGTTCCACTTCAGGAATTGAACTTTCCTCTTGACAGAGCAACTCTGAAACCCTCTTTTTCTAGAATCTGCAAGTGGACATTTGGAGGGCTTTGAGGCCTGTGGTGGAAAAGGAAACTTCTTCACATAAAAACTAGATGGAAGCATTCTCAGAAACTACTTTGTGATGATTGCATTCGACTCACAGAGTTGAACATTCCTATAGATAGAGCAGGTTGTAAACAATCTTTTTGTAGAATCTGCGATTGGAGATTTGGACTGCTTTGAGGCCTACTCTAGTAAAGGAAATAACTTCATCTAAAAACCAAACGGAAGCATTCACAGACAATTCTTAGTGATCATTGGATTGAACCAACAGAGCTGAACATTCCTTTAGATGGAGCAGTTTCCAAACACACTTTCTGTAGAATCTGCAAGTGGATATTTGGACCTTTCTGAGGATTTCGTTGGAAACGGGCTAAATTTCCCAGAACTACACGGAAGCATTCTGAGAAACTTCTTTGTGATGTTTGCATTCAACTCACAGAGTTCAACCTTGCTTTCATAGTTCAGCTTTCAAACACTCTTTTTGTAGAATCTGCAAGTGGATATTTGGACCACTTTGTGGCCTTCCTTCGAAACGGGTATATCTTCACATCAAACCTAGACAGAAGCATTCTCAGAATGTCTCCTGTGATGACTGCATTCAACTCACAGAGGTGAACAATCCTGTTGATGGAGCAGTTTTGAAACTATCTTTCTTTGGAATCTGCAAATGGATGTGTGGACCTGTTTGAAGATTTCGTTGGAAACGGGTTCATCTTCACATAAAAACTAAACAGGAGCATTCTCAGAAACTGCTTTGTGATGTTTGTGTTCCACTTCAAGAATTGGAATTTCCTCTTGACAGAGCAGCTCTGAAACCCTCTTTTTCTAGAATCTGCAAGTGGACATTTGGAGGGCTTTGAGGCCTGTGGTGGAAAAGGAAAATCTTCACATAAAAACTAGATGGAAGCATTCTCAGAAACTACTTTGTGATGATTGCATTCGACTCACAGAGTTGAACATTCCTATAGATAGAGCAGGTTGTAAACAATATTTTTGTGGAATCTGCGATTGGATATTTGGACTGTTTTGAGGCCTACTGTAGTAAAGGAAATAACTTCATCTAAAAACCAAACGGAAGCATTCACAGACAATTCTTAGTGATCATTGGATTGAACTAACAGAGCTGAACATTCCTTTAGATGGAGCAGTTTCCAAACACACTTTCTGTAGAATATGCAAGTGGATATTTGGACTTCTCTGAGGATTTCGTTGGAATCGGGATAAACTTCCCAGAACTACACGGAAGCATTCTGAGAAACTTCTTTGTGATGTTTGCATTCAACTCACAGAGTTGAACCTTGCTTTCATAGTTCAGCTTTCAAACACTCTTTTTGTAGAATCTGCAAGTGGATATTTGGACCACTTTGTGGCCTTCCTTCGAAACGGGTATATCTTCACATCAAACCTAGACAGAAGCATTCTCAGAATGTTTCCTGTGATGACTGCATTCAACTCACAGAGGTGAACAATCCTGCTGATGGAGCAGTTTTGAAACTCTCTTTCTTTGGATTCTGCAAGTGGATATGTGGACCTCTGTGAAGATTTCGTTGGAAACGGGTTCATCTTCACAGAAAAACTAAACAGAAGCATTCTCAGAAACTGCTTTGTGATGTTTGTGTTCCACTTCAAGAATTGAACTTTCGTCTTGACAGAGCAGCTCTGATACCCTCTTTTTCTAGAATCTGCAAGTGGACATTTGGAGGGCTTTGAGGCCTGTGGTGGAAAAGGAAAATCTTCACATAAAAACTAGATGGAAGCATTCTCAGAAACTACTTTGTGATGATTGCATTCGACTCACAGAGTTGAACATTCCTATAGATAGAGCAGGTTGTAAACAATCTTTTCGTAGAATCTGCGATTGGAGATTTGGACTGCTTTGAGGCCTACTGTAGTAAAGGAAATAACTTCATCTAAAAGCCAAACGGAAGCATTCACAGACAATTCTTAGTGATCATTGGATTGAACTAACAGAGCTGAACATTCCTTTAGATGGAGCAGTTTCCAAACACACTTTCTGTAGAATCTGCAAGTGGATATTTGGACTTCTCTGAGGATTTCGTTGGAAACGGGATAAACGTCCCAGAACTACAGGGAAGCATTCTGAGAAACTTCTTTGTGATGTTTGCATTCAACTCACAGAGTTGAACCTTGCTTTCATAGTTCAGCTTTCAAACACTCTTTTTGTAGAATCTGCAAGTGGATATTTGGACCACTTTGTGGCCTTCCTTCGAAACGGGTATATCTTCACATCAAACCTAGACAGAAGCATTCTCAGAATGTTTCCTGTGATGACTGCATTCAACTCACAGAGGTGAACAATCCTGCTGATGGAGCAGTTTTGAAACTCTCTTTCTTTGGATTCTGCAAGTGGATATGTGGACCTCTGTGAAGATTTCGTTGGAAACGGGTTCATCTTCACAGAAAAACTAAACAGAAGCATTCTCAGAAACTGCTTTGTGATGTTTGTGTTCCACTTCAGGAATTGAACTTTCCTCTTGACAGAGCAGCTCTGAAACCCTCTTATTCTAGAATCTGCAAGTGGACATTTGGAGGGCTTTGAGGCCTGTGGTGGAAAAGGAAAATCTTCACATAAAAACTAGATGGAAGCATTCTCAGAAACTACTTTGTGATGATTGCATTCGACTCACAGAGTTGAACATTCCTATACATAGAGCAGGTTGTAAACAATCTTTTTGTAGAATCTGCGATTGGAGATTTGGACTGCTTTGAGGCCTACTGTAGTAAAGGAAATAACTTCATCTAAAAACCAAACGGAAGCATTCACAGACAATTCTTAGTGATCATTGGATTGAACTAACAGAGCTGAACATTCCTTTAGATGGAGCAGTTTCCAAACACACTTTCTGTAGAATCTGCAAGTGGATATTTGGACTTCTCTGAGGATTTCGTTGGAAACGGGATAAACTTCCCAGAACTACACGGAAGCATGCTGAGAAACTTCTTTGTGATGTTTGCATTCAACTCACAGAGTTGAACCTTGCTTTCATAGTTCAGCTTTCAAACACTCTTTTTGTAGAATCTGCAAGTGGATATTTGGACCACTTTGTGGCCTTCCTTCGAAACGGGTATATCTTCACATCAAACCTAGACAGAAGCATTCTCAGAATGTTTCCTGTGATGACTGCATTCGACTCACAGAGGTGAACAATCCTGCTGATGGAGCAGTTTTGAAACTCTCTTTCTTTGGATTCTGCAAGTGGATATGTGGACCTCTGTGAAGATTTCGTTGGAAACGGGTTCGTCTTCACAGAAAAACTAAACAGAAGCATTCTCAGAAACTACTTTGTGATGTTTGTGTTCCACTTCAAGAATTGAACTTTCCTCTTGACAGAGCAGCTCTGAAACCCTCTTTTTCTAGAATCTGCAAGTGGACATTTGGAGGGCTTTGAGGCCTGTGGTGGAAAAGGAAAATCTTCACATAAAAACTAGATGGAAGCATTCTCAGAAACTACTTTGTGATGATTGCATTCGACTCACAGAGTTGAACATTCCTATAGATAGAGCAGGTTGTAAACAATCTTTTTGTAGAATCTGCGATTGGAGATTTGGACTGCTTTGAGGCCTACTGTAGTAAAGGAAATAACTTCATCTAAAAACCAAACGGAAGCATTCACAGACAATTCTTAGTGATCATTGGATTGAACTAACAGAGCTGAACATTCCTTTAGATGGCGCAGTTTCCAAACACACTTTCTGTAGAATCTGCAAGTGGATATTTGGACCTCTCTGAGGATTTCGTTGGAAACGGGATAAATTTCCCAGAACTACACGGAAGCATGCTGAGAAACTTCTTTGTGATGTTTGCATTCAACTCACATAGTTGAACCTTGCTTTCATAGTTCAGCTTTCAAACACTCTTTTTGTAGAATCTGCAAGTGGATATTTGGACCACTTTGTGGCCTTCCTTCGAAACGGGTATACCTTCACATCAAACCTAGACAGAAGCATTCTCAGAATGTTTCCTGTGATGACTGCAGTCAACTCACAGAGGTGAACAATCCTGCTGATGGAGCAGTTTTGAAACTCTCTTTCTTTGGATTCTGCAAGTGGATATGTGGACCTCTGTGAAGATTTCGTTGGAAACGGGTTCATCTTCAAAGAAAAACTAAACAGGAGCATTCTCAGAAACTGCTTTGTGATGTTTGTGTTCCACTTCAGGAATTGAACTTTCCTCTTGACAGAGCAGCTCTGAAACCCTCTTTTTCTAGAATCTGCAAGTGGACATTTGGAGGGCTTTGAGGCCTGTGGTGGAAAAGGAAAATCTTCACATAAAAACTAGATGGAAGCATTCTCAGAAACTACTTTGTGATGATTGCATTCGACTCACAGAGTTGAACATTCCTATAGATAGAGCAGGTTGTAAACAATCTTTTTGTAGAATCTGCGATTGGAGATTTGGACTGCTTTGAGGCCTACTGTAGTAAAGGAAATAACTTCATCTAAAAACCAAACGGAAGCATTCACAGACAATTCTTAGTGATCATTGCATTGAACTAACAGAGCTGAACATTCCTTTAGATGGCGCAGTTTCCAAACACACTTTCTGTAGAATCTGCAAGTGGATATTTGGACCTCTCTGAGGATTTCGTTGGAAACGGGATAAACTTCCCAGAACTACACGGAAGCATTCTGAGAAACTTCTTTGTGATGTTTGCATTCAACTCACAGAGTTGAACCTTGCTTTCATAGTTCAGCTTTCAAACACTCTTTTTGTAGAATCTGCAAGTGGATATTTGGACCACTTTCTGGCCTTCCTTCGAAACGGGTATATCTTCACATCAAACCTAGACAGAAGCATTCTCAGAATGTTTCCTGTGATGACTGCATTCAACTCACAGAGGTGAACAATCCTGCTGATGGAGCAGTTTTGAAACTCTCTTTCTTTGGATTCTGCAAGTGGATATGTGGACCTCTGTGAAGATTTCGTTGGAAACGGGTTCATCTTCACAGAAAAACTAAACAGAAGCATTCTCAGAAACTGCTTTGTGATGTTTGTGTTCCACTTCAAGAATTGAACTTTCCTCTTGACAGAGCAGCTCTGAAACCCTCTTTTTCTAGAATCTGCAAGTGGACATTTGGAGGGCTTTGAGGCCTGTGGTGGAAAAGGAAACTCTTCACATAAAAACTAGATGGAAGCATTCTCAGAAACTACTTTGGGATGATTGCATTCGACTCACAGAGTTGAACATTCCTATAGATAGAGCAGGTTGAAAACAATCTTTTTGTAGAATCTGCGATTGGAGGTTTGGACTGCTTTGAGGCCTACTGTAGTAAAGGAAATAACTTCATCTAAAAACCAAACGGAAGCATTCACAGATAATTCTAAGTGATATTGGATTGAACTAACAGAGCTGAACATTCCTTTAGATGGAGCAGTTTCCAAACACACTTTCTGTAGAATCTGCAAGTGGATATTTGGACTTCTCTGAGGATTTCGTTGGAAACGGGATAAACTTCCCAGAACTACACGGAAGTATTCTGAGAAACTTCTTTGTGATGTTTGCATTCAACTCACAGAGTTGAACCTTGCTTTCATAGTTCAGCTTTCAAACACTCTTTTTGTAGAATCTGCAAGTGGATATTTGGACCACTTTGTGGCCTTCCTTCCAAACGGGTATATCTTCACATCAAACCTAGACAGAAGCATTCTCAGAATGTTTCCTGTGATGACTGCATTCAACTCACAGAGGTGAACAATCCTGCTGATGGAGCAGTTTTGAAACTCTCTTTCTTTGGATTGTGCAAGTGGATATGTGGACCTCTGTGTAGATTTCGTTGGAAACGGGTTCATCTTCACAGAAAAACTAAACAGGAGCATTCTCAGAAACTGCTTTGTGATGTTTGTGTTCCACTTCAGGAATTGAACTTTCCTCTTGACAGAGCAGCTCTGAAACCCTCTTTTTCTAGAATCTGCAAGTTGACATTTGGAGGGCTTTGAGGCCTGCGGTGGAAAAGGAAAATCTTCACATAAAAACTAGATGGAAGCATTCTCAGAAACTACTTTGTGATGATTGCATTCGACTCACAGAGTTGAACATTCCTATAGATAGAGCAGGTTGTAAACAATCTTTTTGTAGAATCTGCGATTGGAGATTTGGACTGCTTTGAGGCCTACTGTAGTAAAGGAAATAACTTCATCTAAAAATCAAACGGAAGCATTCACAGACAATTCTTAGTGATCATTGGATTGAACTAACAGAGCTGAACATTCCTTTAGATGGAGCAGTTTCCAAACCCACTTTCTGTAGAATCTGCAAGTGGATATTTGGACTTCTCTGAGGATTTCGTTGGAAACGGGATAAACTTCCCAGAACTACACGGAAGCATTGTGAGAAACTTCTTTGTGATGTTTGCATTCAACTCACAGAGTTGAACCTTGCTTTCATAGTTCAGCTTTCAAACACTCTTTTTGTAGAATCTGCAAGTGGATATTTGGACCACTTTGTGGCCTTCCTTCGAAACGGGTATATCTTCACATCAAACCTAGACAGAAGCATTCTCAGAATGCTTCCTGTGATGACTGCATTCAACTCACAGAGGTGAACAATCCTGCTGATGGAGCAGTTTTGAAACTCTCTTTCTTTGGATTCTGCAAGTGGATATGTGGACCTCTGTGAAGATTTCGTTGGAAACGGGTTCATCTTCACAGAAAAACTAAACAGGAGCATTCTCAGAAACTGCTTTGTGATGTTTGTGTTCCACTTCAAGAATTGAACTTTCCTCTTGACAGAGCAGCTCTGAAACCCTCTTTTTCTAGAATCTGCAAGTGGACATTTGGAGGGCTTTGAGGCCTGTGGTGGAAAAGGAAAATCTTCCCATAAAAACTAGATGGAAGCATTCTCAGAAACTACTTTGTGATGATTGCATTCGACTCACAGAGTTGAACATTCCTATAGATAGAGCAGGTTGTAAACAATCTTTTTGTAGAATCTGCGATTGGAGATTTGGACTGCTTTGAGGCCTACTGTAGTAAAGGAAATAACTTCATCTAAAAACCAAACGGAAGCATTCACAGACAATTCTTAGTGATCATTGGATTGAACTAACAGAGCTGAACATTCCTTTAGATGGAGCAGTTTCCAAACCCACTTTCTGTAGAATCTGCAAGTGGATATTTGGACTTCTCTGAGGATTTCGTTGGAAACGGGATAAACTTCCCAGAACTACACGGATGCATTGTGAGAAACTTCTTTGTGATGTTTGCATTCAACTCACAGAGTTGAACCTTGCTTTCATAGTTCAGCTTTCAAACACTCTTTTTGTAGAATCTGCAAGTGGATATTTGGACCACTTTGTGGCCTTCCTTCGAAACGGGTATATCTTCACATCAAACCTAGACAGAAGCATTCTCAGAATGTTTCCTGTGATGACTGCATTCAACTCACAGAGGTGAACAATCCTGCTGATGGAGCAGTTTTGAAACTCTCTTTCTTTGGATTCTGCAAGTGGATATGTGGACCTCTGTGAAGATTTCGTTGGAAACGGGTTCATCTTCACAGAAAAACTAAACAGGAACATTCTCAGAAACTGCTTTGTGATGTTTGTGTTCCACTTCAAGAATTGAACTTTCCTCTTGACAGAGCAGCTCTGAAACCCTCTTTTTCTAGAATCTGCAAGTGGACATTTGGAGGGCTTTGAGGCCTGTGGTGGAAAAGGAAAATCTTCACATAAAAACTAGATGGAAGCATTCTCAGAAACTACTTTGTGATGATTGCATTCGACTCACAGAGTTGAACATTCCTATAGATAGAGCAGGTTCTAAACAATCTTTTTGTAGAATCTGCGATTGGAGATTTGGACTGCTTTGAGGCCTACTGTAGTAAAGGAAATAACTTCATCTAAAAACCAAACGGAAGCATTCACAGACAATTCTTAGTGATCATTGGATTGAACTAACAGA
The DNA here is from genome assembly GCF_000001405.40 of Homo sapiens. Classification (NCBI taxonomy): domain Eukaryota; kingdom Metazoa; phylum Chordata; class Mammalia; order Primates; family Hominidae; genus Homo; species Homo sapiens. The sequence continues at coordinate 53,478,357 of NC_000011.10, forward strand.
GCTGAACATTCCTTTAGATGGAGCAGTTTCCAAACACACTTTCTGTAGAATCTGCAAGTGGATATTTGGACTTCTCTGAGGATTTCATTGGAAACGGGATAAACTTCCCAGAACTACACGGAAGCATTGTGAGAAACTTCTTTGTGATGTTTGCATTCAACTCACAGAGTTGAACCTTGCTTTCATAGTTCAGCTTTCAAACACTCCTTTTGTAGAATCTGCAAGTGGATATTTGGACCACTTTGTGGCCTTCCTTGGAAACGGGTATATCTTCACATCAAACCTAGACAGAAGCATTCTCAGAATGTTTCCTGTGATGACTGCATTCAACTCACAGAGGTGAACAATCCTGCTGATGGAGCAGTTTTGAAACTCTCTTTCTTTGGATTCTGCAAGTGGATATGTGGACCTCTGTGAAGATTTCGTTGGAAACGGGTTCATCTTCACAGAAAAACTAAACAGAAGCATTCTCAGAAACTGCTTTGTGATGTTTGTGTTCCACTTCAGGAATTGAACTTTCCTCTTGACAGAGCAGCTCTGAAACCCTCTTATTCTAGAATCTGCAAGTGGACATTTGGAGGGCTTTGAGGCCTGTGGTGGAAAAGGAAAATCTTCACATAAAAACTAGATGGAAGCATTCTCAGAAACTACTTTGTGATGATTGCATTCGACTCACAGAGTTGAACATTCCTATAGATAGAGCAGGTTGTAAACAATCATTTGTAGAATCTGCGATTGGAGATTTGGACTGCTTTGAGGCCTACAGTAGTAAAGGAAATAACTTCATCTAAAAACCAAGTGGAAGCATTCACAGACAATTCTTAGTGATCATTGCATTGAACTAACAGAGCTGAACATTCCTTTAGATGGCGCAGTTTCCAAACACACTTTCTGTAGAATCTGCAAGTGGATATTTGGACTTCTCTGAGGATTTCGTTGGAAACGGGATAAACGTCCCAGAACTACACGGAAGCATTCTGAGAAACTTCTCTGTGATGTTTGCATTCAACTCACAGAGTTGAACCTTGCTTTCATAGTTCAGCTTTCAAACACTCTTTTTGTAGAATCTGCAAGTGGATATTTGGACCACTTTGTGGCCTTCCTTCGAAACGGGTATATCTTCACATCAAACGTAGACAGAAGCATTCTCAGAATGTTTCCTGTGATGACTGCATTCAACTCACAGAGGTGAACAATCCTGTTGATGGAGCAGTTTTGAAACTCTCTTTCTTTGGATTCTGCAAGTTGATATGTGGACCTCTGTGAAGATTTCGTTGGAAACGGGTTCATCTTCACAGAAAAACTAAACAGAAGCATTCTCAGAAACTGCTTTGTGATGTTTGTGTTCCACTTCAAGAATTGAACTTTCCTCTTGACAGAGCAGCTCTGAAACCCTCTTTTTCTAGAATCTGCAAGTGGACATTTGGAGGGCTTTGAGGCCTGTGGTGGAAAAGGAAAATCTTCACATAAAAACTAGATGGAAGCATTCTCAGAAACTACTTTGTGATGGTTGCATTCGACTCACAGAGTTGAACATTCCTATAGAGAGAGCAGGTTGTAAACAATCTTTTTGTAGAATCTGCGATTGGAGATTTGGACTGCTTTGAGGCCTACTGTAGTAAAGGAAATAACTTCATCTAAAAACCAAACGGAAGCATTCACAGACAATTCTTAGTGATCATTGGATTGAACTAACAGAGCTGAACATTCCTTTAGATGGCGCAGTTTCCAAACACACTTTCTGTAGAATCTGCAAGTGGATATTTCGACCTCTCTGAGGATTTCGTTGGAAACGGGATAAACTTCCCAGAACTACACGGAAGCATTCTGAGAAACTTCTTTGTGATGTTTGCATTCAACTCACAGAGTTGAACCTTGCTTTCATAGTTCAGCTTTCAAACACTCTTTTTGTAGAATCTGCAAGTGGATATTTGGACCACTTTGTGGCCTTCCTTCGAAACGGGTATATCTTCACATCAAACCTAGACAGAAGCATTCTCAGAATGTTTCCTGTGATGACTGCATTCAACTCACAGAGGTGAACAATCCTGCTGATGGAGCAGTTTTGAAACTCTCTTTCTTTGGATTCTGCAAGTGGATATGTGGACCTCTGTGAAGATTTCGTTGGAAACGGGTTCATCTTCACAGAAAAACTAAACAGAAGCATTCTCAGAAACTGCTTTGTGATGTTTGTGTTCCACTTCAGGAATTGTACTTTCCTCTTGACAGAGCAGCTCTGAAACCCTCTTATTCTAGAATCTGCAAGTGGACATTTGGAGGGCTTTGAGGCCTGTGGTGGAAAAGGAAAATCTTCACATAAAAACTAGATGGAAGCATTCTCAGAAACTACTTTGTGATGATTGCATTCGACTCACAGAGTTGAACATTCCTATAGATAGAGCAGGTTGTAAACAATCTTTTTGTAGAATCTGCGATTGGAGATTTGGACTGCTTTGAGGCCTACTGTAGTAAAGGAAATAACTTCATCTAAAAACCAAACGGAATCATTCACAGACAATTCTTAGTGATCATTGCATTGAACTAACAGAGCTGAACATTCCTTTAGATGGCGCAGTTTCCAAACACACTTTCTGTAGAATCTGCAAGTGGATATTTGGACCTCTCTGGGGATTTCGTAGGAAACGGGATAAACTTCCCAGAACTACACGGAAGCATTCTGAGAAACTTCTTTGTGATGTTTGCATTCAACTCACAGAGTTGAACCTTGCTTTCATAGTTCAGCTTTCAAACACTCTTTTTGTAGAATCTGCAAGTGGATATTTGGACCACTTTGTGGCCTTCCTTCGAAACGGGTATATCTTCACATCAAACCTAGACAGAAGCATTCTCAGAATGTTTCCTCTGATGACTGCATTCAACTCACAGAGGTGAACAATCGTGTTGATGGAGCAGTTTTGAAACTCTCTTTCTTTGGATTCTGCAAGTGGATATGTGGACCTCTGTGAAGATTTCGTTGGAAACGGGTTCATCTTCACAGAAAAACTAAACAGAAGCATTCTCAGAAACTACTTTGTGATGTTTGTGTTCCACTTCAAGAATTGAACTTTCCTCTTGACAGAGCAGCTCTGAAACCCTCTTTTTCTAGAATCTGCAAGTGGACATTTGGAGGGCTTTGAGGCCTGTGGTGGAAAAGGAAAATCTTCACATAAAAACTAGATGGAAGCATTCTCAGAAACTACTTTGTGATGATTGCATTCGACTCACAGAGTTGAACATTCCTATAGATAGAGCAGGTTGTACACAATCTTTTTGTAGAATCTGTGATTGGAGATTTGGACTGCTTTGAGGCCTACTGTAGTAAAGGAAATAACTTCATCTAAAAACCAAACGGAAGCATTCACAGACAATGCTTAGTGATCATTGGATTGAACTAACAGAGCTGAACATTCCTTTAGATGGCGCAGTTTCCAAACACACTTTCTGTAGAATCTGCAAGTGGATATTTGGACCTCTCTGAGGATTTCGTTGGAAACGGGATATACTTCCCAGAACTACACGGAAGCATTCTGAGAAACTTCTTTGTGATGTTTGCATTCAACTCACAGAGTTGAACCTTGCTTTCATAGTTCAGCTTTCAAACACTCTTTTTGTAGAATCTGCAAGTGGATATTAGGACCACTTTGTGGCCTTCTTTCGAAAGGGGTATATCTTCACATCAAACCTAGACAGAAGCATTCTCAGAATGTTTCCTGTGATGACTGCATTCAACTCACAGAGGTGAACAATCCTGCTGATGGAGCAGTTTTGAAACTCTCTTTCTTTGGATTCTGCAAGTGGATATGTGGACCTCTGTGAAGATTTCGTTGGAAACGGGTTCATCTTCACAGAAAAACTAAACAGGAGCATTCTCAGAAACTGCTTTGTGATGTTTGTGTTCCACTTCAGGAATTGAACTTTCCTCTTGACAGAGCAGCTCTGAAACCCTCTTATTCTAGAATCTGCAAGTGGACATTTGGAGGGCTTTGAGGCCTGTGGTGGAAAAGGAAAATCTTCACATAAAAACTAGATGGAAGCATTCTCAGAAACTACTTTGTGATGATTGCATTCGACTCACAGAGTTGAACATTCCTATAGATAGAGCAGGTTGTAAACAATCTTTTTGTAGAATCTGCGATTGGAGATTTGGACTGCTTTGAGGCCTACTGTAGTAAAGGAAATAACTTCATCTAAAAACCAAACGGAAGCATTCACAGACAATTCTTAGTGATCATTGCATTGAACTAACAGAGCTGAACATTCTTTTAGATGGCGCAGTTTCCAAACACACTTTCTGTAGAATCTGCAAGTGGATATTTGGACCTCTCTGAGGATTTCGTTGGAAAAGGGATAAACTTCCCAGAACTACACGGAAGCATTCTGAGAAACTTCTTTGGATGTTTACATTCAACTCACAGAGTTGAACCTTGCTTTCATAGTTCAGCTTTCAAACACTCTTTTTGTAGAATCTGCAAGTGGATATTTGGACCACTTTGTGGCCTTCCTTCGAAACGGGTATATCTTCACATCAAACCTAGACAGAAGCATTCTCAGAATGTTTCCTGTGATGACTGCATTCAACTCACAGAGGTGAACAATCCTGCTGATGGAGCAGTTTTGAAACTCTCTTTCTTTGGATTCTGCAAGTGGATATGTGGACCTCTGTGAAGATTTCGTTGGAAACGGGTTCATCTTCACAGAAAAACTAAACAGGAGCATTCTCAGAAACTACTTTGCGATGTTTGTGTTCCACTTCAAGAATTGAACTTTCCTCTTGACAGAGCAGCACTGAAACCCTCTTTTTCTAGAATCTGTAAGTGGACATTTGGAGGGCTTTGAGGCCTGTGGTGGAAAAGGAAAATCTTCACATAAAAACTAGATGGAAGCATTCTCAGAAAGTACTTTTGATGATTGCATTCGACTCACAGTGTTGAACATTCCTATAGATAGAGCAGGTTGTAAACAATCTTTTTGTAGAATCTGCGATTGGAGATTTGGACTGCTTTGAGGCCTACTGTAGTAAAGGAAATAACTTCATCTAAAAACCAAACGGAAGCATTCACAGACAATTCTTAGTGATCATTGCATTGAACTAACAGAGCTGAACATTCCTTTAGATGGAGCAGTTTCCAAACACACTTTCTGTAGAATCTGCAAGTGGATATTTGGACTTCTCTGAGGATTTCGTTGGAAACGGGATAAACTTCCCAGAACTACACGGAAGCATTCTGAGAAACTTCTTTGTGATGTTTGCATTCAACTCACAGAGTTGAACCTTGCTTTCATAGTTCAGCTTTCAAACACTCTTTTTGTAGAATCTGCAAGTGGATATTTGGACCACTTTGTGGCCTTCCTTCGAAACGGGTATATCTTCACATCAAACCTAGACAGAAGCATTCTCACAATGTTACCTGTGATGACTGCATTCAACTCACAGAGGTGAACAATCCTGCTGATGGAGCAGTTTTGAAACTCTCCTTCTTTGGATTCTGCAAGTGGATATGTGGACCTCTGTGAAGATTTCGTTGGAAACGGGTTCATCTTCACAGAAAAACTAAACAGAAAGCATTCACAGGAAACTGCTTTGTGATGTTTGTGTTCCACTTCAGGAATTGAACTTTCCTCTTGAAAGAGCAGCTCTGAAACCCTCTTTTTCTAGAATCTGCAAGTGGACATTTGGAGGGCTTTGAGGCCTGTGGTGGAAAAGGAAAATCTTCACATAAAAACTAGATGGAAGCATTCTCAGAAACTACTTTGTGATGATTGCATTCGACTCACAGAGTTGAACATTCCTATAGATAGAGCAGGTTGTAAACAATCTTTTTGTAGAATCTGCGATTGGAGATTTGGACTGCTTTGAGGCCTACTGTAGTAAAGGAAATTACTTCATCTAAAAACCAAACGGAAGCATTCCCAGACAATTCTTAGTGATCATTGGATTGAACTAACAGAGCTGAATATTCCTTTAGATGGCGCAGTTTCCAAACACACTTTCTGTAGAATCTGCAAGTGGATATTTGTACCTCTCTGAGGATTTCGTTGGAAACGGGATAAACTTCCCAGAACTACACGGAAGCATTGTGAGAAACTTCTTTGTGATGTTTGCATTCAACTCACAGAGTTGAACCTTGCTTTCATAGTTCAGCTTTCAAACACTCTTTTTGTAGAATCTGCAAGTGGATATTTGGACCACTTTGTGGCCTTCCTTCGAAACGGGTATATCTTCACATCAAACCTAGACAGAAGCATTCTCAGAATGTTTCCTGTGATGACTGCATTCAACTCACAGAGGTGAACAATCCTGCTGATGGAGCAGTTTTCAAACTCTCTTTCTTTGGATTCTGCAAGTGGATATGTGGACCTCTGTGAAGATTTCGTTGGAAACGGGTTCATCGTCACAGAAAAACTAAACAGAAGCATTCTCAGAAACTGCTTTGTGATGTTTGTGTTCCACTTCAGGAACTGAACTTTCCTCTTGACAGAGCAGCTCTGAAACCCTCTTTTTCTAGAATCTGCAAGTGGACATTTGGAGGGCTTTGAGGCCTGTGGTGGAAAAGGAAAATCGTCACATAAAAACTAGATGGAAGCATTCTCAGAAACTACTTTGTGATGATTGCATTCGACTCACAGAGTTGAACATTCCTATAGATAGAGCAGGTTGTAAACAATCTTTTTGTAGAATCTGCGATTGGAGATTTGGACTGCTTTGAGGCCTACTGTAGTAAAGGAAATAACTTCATCTAAAAACCAAACGGAAGCATTCACAGACAATCCTTAGTGATCATTGCATTGAACTAACAGAGCTGAACATTCCTTTAGATGGCGCAGTTTCCAAACACACTTTCTGTAGAATCTGCAAGTGGATATTTGGACCTCTCTGAGGATTTCGTTGGAAACGGGATAAACTTCCCAGAACTACACGGAAGCATTGTGAGAAACTTCTTTGTGATGTTTGCATTCAACTCACAGAGTTGAACCTTGCTTTCATAGTTCAGCTTTCAAACACTCTTTTTGTAGAATCTGCAAGTGGATATTTGGACCACTTTGTGGCCTTCCTTCGAAACGGGTATATCTTCACTTCAAACCTAGACAGAAGCATTCTCAGAATGTTTCCTGTGATGACTGCATTCAACTCACAGAGGTGAACAATCCTGCTGATGGAGCAGTTTTGAAACTCTCTTTCTTTGGATTCTGCAAGTGGATATGTGGACCTCTGTGAAGATTTCGTTGGAAACGGGTTCATCTTCACAGAAAAACTAAACAGGAGCATTCTGAGAAACTGCTTTGTGATGTTTGTGTTCCACTTCAAGAATTGAACTTTCCTCTTGACAGAGCAGCTCTGAAACCCTCTTTTTCTAGAATCTGCAAGTGGTCATTTGGAGGGCTTTGAGGCCTGTGGTGGAAAAGGAAACTCTTCACATAAAAACTAGATGGAAGCATTCTCAGAAACTACTTTGTGATGATTGCATTCGACTCACAGAGTTGAACATTCCTATAGATAGAGCAGGTTGTAAACAATCTTTTTGTAGAATCTGCGATTGGAGATTTGGACTGCTTTGAGGCCTACTGTAGTAAAGGAAATAACTTCATCTAAAAACCAAACGGAAGCATTCACAGACAATTCTTAGTGATCATTGGATTGAACTAACAGAGCTGAACATTCCTTTAGATGGAGCAGTTTCCAAACACACTTTCTGTAGAATCTGCAAGTGGATATTTGGACTTCTCTGAGGATTTCGTTGGAAACGGGATAAACTTCCCAGAACTACACGGAAGCATTCTGAGAAACTTCTTTGTGATGTTTGCATTCAACTCACAGAGTTGAACCTTGCTTTCATACTTCAGCTTTCAAACACTCTTTTTGTAGAATCTGCAAGTGGATATTTGGACCACTTTGTGGCCTTCCTTCGAAACGGGTATATCTTCACATCAAACCTAGACAGAAGCATTCTCAGAATGTTTCCTGTGATGACTGCATTCAACTCACAGAGGTGAACAATCCTGCTGATGGAGCAGTTTTGAAACTCTCTTTCTTTGGATTCTGCAAGTGGATATGTGGACCTCTGTGAAGATTTCGTTGGAAACGGGTTCATCTTCACAGAAAAACTAAACAGAAGCATTCTCAGAAACTGCTTTGTGATGTTTGTGTTCCACTTCAGTAATTGAACTTTCCTCTTGACAGAGCAGCTCTGAAACCCTCTTTTTCTAGAATCTGCAAGTGGACATTTGGAGGGCTTTGAGGCCTGTGGTGGAAAAGGAAAATCTTCACATAAAAACTAGATGGAAGCATTCTCAGAAACTACTTTGTGATGATTGCATTCGACTCACAGAGTTGAACATTCCTATACATAGAGCAGGTTGTAAACAATCTTTTTGTAGAATCTGCGATTGGAGATTTGGACTGCTTTGAGGCCTACTGTAGTAAAGGAAATAACTTCATCTAAAAACCAAACGGAAGCATTCACAGACAATTCTTAGTGATCATTGCATTGAACTAACAGAGGTGAACATTCCTTTAGATGGCGCAGTTTCCAAACACACTTTCTGTAGAATCTGCAAGTGGATATTTGGACCTCTCTGAGGATTTCGTTGGAAACGGGATAAACTTCCCAGAACTACACGGAAGCATTGTGAGAAAATTCTTTGTGATGTTTGCATTCAACTCACAGAGTTGAACCTTGCTTTCATAGTTCAGCTTTCAAACACTCTTTTTGTAGAATCTGCAAGTGGATATTTGGACCACTTTGTGGCCTTCCTTCGAAACGGGTATATCTTCACATCAAACCTAGACAGAAGCATTCTCAGAATGTTTCCTGTGATGACTGCATTCAACTCACAGAGGTGAACAATCCTGCTGATGGAGCAGTTTTGAAACTCTCTTTCTTTGGATTCTGCAAGTGGATATGTGGACCTCTGTGAAGATTTCGTTGGAAACGGATTCATCTTCACAGAAAAACTAAACAGGAGCATTCTCAGAAACTGCTTTGTGATGTTTGTGTTCCACTTCAAGAATTGAACTTTCCTCTTGACAGAGCAGCTCTGAAACCCTCTTTTTCTAGAATCTGCAAGTGGACATTTGGAGGGCTTTGAGGCCTGTGGTGGAAAAGGAAAATCTTCACATAAAAACTAGATGGAAGCATTCTCAGAAACTGCTTTGTGATGATTGCATTCGACTCACAGAGTTGAACATTCCTATAGATTGAGCAGGTTGAAAACAATCTTTTTGTAGAATCTGCGATTGGAGATTTGGACTGCTTTGAGGCCTACTGTAGTAAAGGAAATAACTTCATCTAAAAACCAAACGGAAGCATTCACAGACAATTCTTAGTGATCATTGGATTGAACTAACAGAGCTGAAGATTCCCTTAGATGGCGCAGTTTCCAAACACACTTTCTGTAGAATCTGCAAGTGGATATTTGGACCTCTCTGAGGATTTCGTTGGAAACGGGATAAACTTCCCAGAACTACACGGAAGCATTGTGAGAAACTTCTTTGTGATGTTTGCATTCAACTCACAGAGTTGAACCTTGCTTTCATAGTTCAGCTTTCAAACACTCTTTTTGTGGAATCTGCAAGTGGATATTTGGACCACTTTGTGGCCTTCCTTCGAAACGGGTATATACTTCACATCAAACCTAGACAGAAGCATTCTCAGAATGTTTCCTGTGATGACTGCATTCAACTCACAGAGGTGAACAATCCTGCTGATGGAGCAGTTTTGAAACTCTCTTTCTTTGGATTCTGCAAGTGGATATGTGGACCTCTGTGAAGATTTCGTTGGAAACGGGTTCATCTTCACAGAAAAACTAAACAGAAGCATTCTCAGAAACTGCTTTGTGATGTTTGTGTTCCACTTCAGGAATTGAACTTTCCTCTTGAAAGAGCAGCTCTGAAACCCTCTTTTTCTAGAATCTGCAAGTGGACATTTGGAGGGCTTTGAGGCCTGTGGTGGAAAAGGAAAATCTTCACATAAAAACTAGATGGAAGCATTCTCAGAAACTACTTTGTGATGATTGCATTCGACTCACAGAGTTGAACATTCCTATAGATAGAGCAGGTTGTAAACAATCTTTTTGTAGAATCTGCGATTGGAGATTTGGACTGCTTTGAGGCCTACTGTAGTAAAGGAAATAACTTCATCTAAAAACCAAACGGAAGCATTCACAGACAATTCTTAGTGATCATTGCATTGAACTAACAGTGCTGAACATTCCTTTAGATGGAGCAGTTTCCAAACCCACTTTCTGTAGAATCTGCAAGTGGATATTTGGACTTCTCTGAGGATTTCGTTGGAAACGGGATAAACTTCCCAGAACTACAGGGAAGCATTCTGAGAAACTTCTTTGTGATGTTTGCATTCAACTCACAGAGTTGAACCTTGCTTTCATAGTTCAGCTTTCAAACACTCTTTTTGTAGAATCTGCAAGTGGATATTTGGACCACTTTGTGGCCTTCCTTCGAAACGGGTATATCTTCACATCAAACCTAGACAGAAGCATTCTCAGAATGTTTCCTGTGATGACTGCATTCAACTCACAGAGGTGAACAATCCTGCTGATGGAGCAGTTTTGAAACTCTCTTTCTTTGGATTCTGCAAGTGGATATGTGGACCTCTGTGAAGATTTCGTTGGAAACGTGTTCATCTTCACAGAAAAACTAAACAGGAGCATTCTCAGAAACTACTTTGTGATGTTTGTGTTCCACTTCAAGAATTGAACTTTCCTCTTGACAGAGCAGCTCTGAAACCCTCTTTTTCTAGAATCTGCAAGTGGACATTTGGAGGGCTTTGAGGCCTGTGGTGGAAAAGGAAAATCTTCACATAAAAACTAGATGGAAGCATTCTCAGAAACTACTTTGTGATGATTGCATTCGACTCACAGAGTTGAACATTCCTATAGATAGAGCAGGTTGTAAACAATCTTTTTGTAGAATCTGCGATTGGAGATTTGGACTGCTTTGAGGCCTACTGTAGTAAAGGAAATAACTTCATCTAAAAACCAAACAGAAGCATTCACAGACAATTCTTAGTGATCATTGCATTGAACTAACAGAACTGAACATTCCTTTAGATGGAGCAGTTTCCAAACACACTTTCTGTAGAATCTGCAAGTGGATATTTGGACCTCTCTGAGGATATCGTTGGAAACGGGATAAACTTCCCAGAACTACACGGAAGCATTCTGAGAAACTTCTTTGGGATGTTTGCATTCAACTCACAGAGTTGAACCTTGCTTTCATAGTTCAGCTTTCAAATACTCTTTTTGTAGAATCTGCAAGTGGATATTTGGACCACTTTGTGGCCTTCCTTCGAAACGGGTATATCTTCACATCAAACCTAGACAGAAGCATTCTCAGAATGTTTCCTGTGATGATTGCATTCAACTCACAGAGGTGAACAATCCTGTTGATGGAGCACTTTTGAAACTCTCTTTCTTTGGATTCTGCAAGTTGATATGTGGACCTCTGTGAAGATTTCGTTGGAAACGGGTTCATCTTCACAGAAAAACTAAACAGAAGCATTCTCAGAAACTACTTTGTGATGTTTGTGTTCCACTTCAAGAATTGAACTTTCCTCTTGACAGAGCAGCTCTGAAACCCTCTTTTTCTAGAATCTGCAAGTGGACATTTGGAGGGCTTTGAGGCCTGTGGTGGAAAAGGAAAATCTTCACATAAAAACTAGATGGAAGCATTCTCAGAAACTACTTTGTGATGATTGCATTCGACTCACAGAGTTGAACATTCCTATAGATAGAGCAGGTTGTAAACAATCTTTTTGTAGAATCTGCGATTGGAGATTTGGACTGCTTTGAGGCCTACTGCAGTAAAGGAAAGAACTTCATCTAAAAACCAAACGGAAGCATTCACAGACAATTCTTAGTGATCATTGGATTGAACTAACAGAGCTGAACATTCCTTTAGATGGAGCAGTTTCCAAACACACTTTCTGTAGAATCTGCAAGTGGATATTTGGACTTCTCTGAGGATTTCGTTGGAAACGGGATAAACTTCCCAGAACTACACGGAAGCATTCTGAGAAACTTCTTCGTGATGTTTGCATTCAACTCACAGAGTTGAACCTTGGTTTCATAGTTCAGCTTTCAAACCCTCTTTTTGTAGAATCTGCAAGTGGATATTTGGACCAATTTGTGGCCTTCCTTCGAAACGGGTATATCTTCACATCAAACCTAGACAGAAGCATTCTCAGAATGTTTCCTGTGATGACTGCATTCAACTCACAGAGGTGAACAATCCTGTTGATGGAGCAGTTTTGAAACTCTCTTTCTTTGGATTCTGCAAGTTGATATGTGGAACTCTGTGAAGATTTCGTTGGAAACGGGTTCATCTTCACAGAAAAACTAAACAGAAGCATTCTCAGAAACTGCTTTGTGATGTTTGTGTTCCACTTCAGGAATTGAACTTTCCTCTTGACAGAGCAGCTCTGCAACCCTCTTATTCTAGAATCTGCAAGTGGACATTTGGAGGGCTTTGAGGCCTGTGGTGGAAAAGGAATATCTTCACATAAAAACTAGATGGAAGCATTCTCAGAAACTACTTTGTGATGATTGCATTCGACTCACAGAGTTGAACATTCCTATAGATAGAGCAGGTTGTAAACAATCTTTTTGTGGAATCTGCGATTGGAGATTTGGACTGCTTTGAGGCCTACTGTAGTAAAGGAAATAACTTCATCTAAAAACCAAACGGAAGCATTCACAGACAATTCTTAGTGATCATTGGATTGAACTAACAGAGCTGAACATTCCTTTAGATGGAGCAGTTTCCAAACACAATTTCTGTAGAATCTGCAAGTGGATATTTGGACTTCTCTGAGGATTTCGTTGGAAACGGGATAAACTTCCCAGAACTACACGGAAGCATTGTGAGAAACTTCCTTTGTGATGTTTGCATTCAACTCACAGAGTTGAACCTTGCTTTCATAGTTCAGCTTTCAAACACTCTTTTTGTAGAATCTGCAAGTGGATATTTGGACCACTTTGTGGCCTTCCTTCGAAACGGGTATATCTTCACATCAAACCTAGACAGAAGCATTCTCAGAATGTTTCCTGTGTTGATTGCATTCAACTCACAGAGGTGAACAATCCTGTTGATGGAGCAGTTTTGAAACTCTCTTTCTTTGGATTCTGCAAGTGGATATGTGGACCTCTGTAAAGATTTCGTTGGAAACGGGTTCATCTTCACAGAAAAACTAAACAGAAGCATTCTCAGAAACTGCTTTTTGATGTTTGTGTTCCACTTCAGGAATTGAACTTTCCTCTTGATAGAGCAGCTCTGAAACCCTCTTTTTCTAGAATCTGCAAGTGGACATTTGGAGGGCTTTGAGGCCTGTGGTGGAAAAGGAAAATCTTCACATAAAAACTAGATGGAAGCATTCTCAGAAACTACTTTGTGATGATTGCATTCGACTCACAGAGTTGAACATTCCTATAGATAGAGCAGGTTGTAAACAATCTTTTTGTAGAATCTGCGATTGGAGATTTGGACTGCTTTGAGGCCTACTGTAGTAAAGGAAATAACTTCATCTAAAAACCAAACGGAAGCATTCACAGACAATTCTTAGTGATTATTGGATTGAACTAACAGAGCTGAACATTCCTTTAGATGGCGCAGTTTCCAAACACACTTTCTGTAGAATCTGCAAGTGGATATTTGGACCTCTCTGAGGATTTCGTTGGAAACGGGATAAACTTCCCAGAACTACACGGAAGCATTCTGAGAAACTTCTTTGGATGTTTGCATTCAACTCACAGAGTTGAACCCTGCTTTCATTGTTCAGCTTTCAAACACTCTTTTTGTAGAATCTGCAAGTGGATATTTGGACCACTTTGTGGCCTTCCTTTGAAACGGGTATATCTTCACATCAAACCTAGACAGAAGCATTCTCAGAATGTTTCCTGTGATGACTGCATTCAACTCACAGAGGTGAACAATCCTGCTGATGGAGCAGTTTTGAAACTCTCTTTCTTTGGATTCTGCAAGTGGATATGTGGACCTCTGTGAAGATTTCGTTGGAAACGGGTTCATCTTCACAGAAAAACTAAACAGAAGCATTCTCAGAAACTGCTTTGTGATGTTTGCGTTCCACTTCAGGAACTGAACTTTCCTCTTGACAGAGCAGCTCTGAAACCCTCTTATTCTAGAATCTGCAAGTGGACATTTGGAGGGCTTTGAGGCCTGTGGTGGAAAAGGAAAATCTTCACATACAAACTAGATGGAAGCATTCTCAGAAACTACTTTGTGATGATTGCATTCGACTCACAGAGTTGAACATTCCTATAGATAGAGCAGGTTGTAAACAATCTTTTTGTAGAATCTGCGATTGGAGATTTGGACTGCTTTGAGGCCTACTGTAGTAAAGGAAATAACTTCATCTAAAAACCAAACGGAAGCATTCACAGACAATTCTTAGTGATCATTGGATTGAACTAACAGAGCTGAACATTCCTTTAGATGGAGCAGTTTCCAAACACACTTTCTGTAGAATCTGCAAGTGGATATTTGGACTTCTCTGAGGATGTCGTTGGAAACGGGATATACTTCCCAGAACTACACGGAAAGCATTCTGAGAAACTTCTTTGTGATGTTTGCATTCAACTCACAGAGTTGAACCTTGTTTTCATAGTTCAGCTTTCAAACACTCTTTTTGTAGAATCTGCAAGTGGATATTTGGACCACTTTGTGGCCTTCTTTCGAAACGGGTATATCTTCACATCAAACCTAGACAGAAGCATTCTCAGAATGTTTCCTGTGATGACTGCATTCAACTCACAGAGGTGAACAATCCTGCTGATGGAGCAGTTTTGAAACTCTCTTTCTTTGGATTCTGCAAGTGGATATGTGGACCTCTGTGAAGATTTCGTTGGAAACGGGTTCAACGTCACAGAAAAACTAAACAGAAGCATTCTCAGAAACTGCTTTGTGATGTTTGTGTTCCACTTCAAGCAATTGAACTTTCCTCTTGACAGAGCAGCTCTGAAACCCTCTTTTTCTAGAATCTGCAAGTGGACATTTGGAGGGCTTTGAGGCCTGTGGTGGAAAAGGAAAATCTTCCCATAAAAACTAGATGGAAGCATTCTCAGAAACTACTTTGTGATGATTGCATTCGACTCACAGAGTTGAACATTCCTATAGATAGAGCAGGTTGTAAACAATGTTTTTGTAGAATCTGCGATTGGAGATTTGGACTGCTTTGAGGCCTACTGTAGTAAAGGAAATAACTTCATCTAAAAACCAAACGGAAGCATTCACAGACAATTCTTAGTGATCATTGGATTGAACTAACAGAGCTGAACATTCCTTTAGATGGCGCAGTTTCCAAACACACTTTCTGTAGAATCTGCAAGTGGATATTTGGACCTCTCTGAGGATTTCGTTGGAAACGGGATAAACTTCCCAGAACTACACGGAAGCATTGTGAGAAACTTCTTTGTGATGTTTGCATTCAACTCACAGAGTTGAACCTTGCTTTCATAGTTCAGCTTTCAAACACTCTTTTTGTAGAAACTGCAAGTGGATATTTGGACCACTTTGTGGCCTTCCTTCGAAACGGGTATATCTTCACATCAAACCTAGACAGAAGCATTCTCAGAATGTTTCCTGTGATGACTGCATTCAACTCACAGAGGTGAACAATCCTGTTGATGGAGCAGTTTTGAAACTCTCTTTCTTTGTATTCTGCAGGTGGACATGTGGACCTCTGTGCAGATTTCGTTGGAAACGGGTTCATCTTCACAGAAAAACTAAACAGAAGCATTCTCAGAAACTGCTTTGTGATGTTTGTATTCCACTTCAGGAATTGAACTTTCCTCTTGACAGAGCAGCTCTGAAACCCTCTTTTTCTAGAATCTGCAAGTGGACATTTGGAGGGCTTTGAGGCCTGTGGTGGAAAAGGAAAACCTTCACATAAAAACTAGATGGAAGCATTCTCAGAAACTTCTTTGTGATAATTGCATTCGACTCACAGAGTTGAACATTCCTATAGATAGAGCAGGTTGTAAACAATCTTTTTGTAGAATCTGCGATTGGAGATTTGGCCTGCTTTGAGGCCTACTGTAGTAAAGGAAATAACTTCATCTTAAAACCAAACGGAAGCATTCACAGACAATTCTTAGTGATCATTGCATTGAACTAACAGAGCTGAACATTCCTTTAGATGGAGCAGTTTCCAAACACACTTTCTGTAGAATCTGCAAGTGGATATTTGGACCTCTCTGAGGATTTCGTTGGAAACGGGATAAACTTCCCAGAACTACACGGAAGCATGCTGAGAAACTTCTTTGTGATGTTTGCATTCAACTCACAGAGTTGAACCTTGCTTTCATAGTTCAGCTTTCAAACACTCTTTTTGTAGAATCTGCAAGTGGATATTTGGACCACTTTGTGGCCTTCCTTCGAAACGGGTATATCTTCACATCAAACCTAGACAGAAGCATTCTCAGAATGTTTCCTGTGATGACTGCATTCAACTCACAGAGGTGAACAATCCTGTTGATGGAGCAGTTTTGAAACTCTCTTTCTTTGGATTCTGCAAGTTGATATGTGGACCACTGTGAAGATTTCGTTGGAAACGGGTTCATCTTCACAGAAAAACTAAACAGAAGCATTCTCAGAAACTGCTTTGTGATGTTTGTGTTCGACTTCAGGAATTGAACTTTCCTCTTGACAGAGCAGCTCTGAAACCCTCTTATTCTAGAATCTGCAAGTGGACATTTGGAGGGCTTTGAGGCCTGTGGTGGAAAAGGAAAATCTTCACATAAAAACTAGATGGAAGCATTCTCAGAAACTACTTTGTGATGATTGCATTCGACTCACAGAGTTGAACATTCCTATAGATAGAGCAGGTTGTAAACAATCTTTTTGTAGAATCTGCGATTGGAGATTTGGACTGCTTTGAGGCCTACTGTAGTAAAGGAAATAACTTCATCTAAAAACCAAACGGAAGCATTCACAGACAATTCTTAGTGATCATTGGAGTGAACTAACAGAGCTGAACATTCCTTTAGATGGCGCAGTTTCCAAACCCACTTTCTGTAGAATCTGCAAGTGGATATTTGGACTTCTCTGAGGATTTCGTTGGAAACGGGATAAAATTCCCAGAACTACACGGAAGCATTCTGAGAAACTTCTTTGTGATGTTTGCATTCAACTCACAGAGTTGAACCTTGCTTTAATAGTTCAGCTTTCAAACACTCTTTTTGTAGAATCTGCAAGTGGATATTTGGACCACTTTGTGGCCTTCCTTCGAAACGGGTATATCTTCACATCAAACCTAGACAGAAGCATTCTCAGAATGTTTCCTGTGATGACTGCATTCATCTCATAGAGGTGAACAATCCTGTTGATGGAGCAGTTTTGAAACTCTCTTTCTTTGGATTCTGCAAGTGGATATGTGGACCTCTGTCAAGATTTCGTTGGAAACGGGTTCATCTTCACAGAAAAACTAAACAGGAGCATTCTCAGAAACTGCTTTGTGATGTTTGTGTTCCACTTAAAGAATTGAACTTTCCTCTTGACAGAGCAGCTCTGAAACCCTCTTTTTCTAGAATTTGCAAGTGGACATTTGGAAGGCTTTGAGGCCTGTGGTGGAAAAGGAAAATCTTCACATAAAAACTTTATGGAAGCATTCTCAGAAACTACTTTGTGATGATTGCATTCGATTCACAGAGTTGAACATGCCTATAGATAGAGCAGGTTGTAAACAATCTTTTTGTAGAATCTGCGATTGGAGATTTGGACTGCTTTGAGGCCTACTGTAGTAAAGGAAATAACTTCATCTAAAAACCAAACGGAAGCATTCACAGACAATTCTTAGTGATCATTGCATTGAACTAACAGAGCTGAACATTCCTTTAGATGGCGCAGTTTCCAAACACACTTTCTGTAGAATCTGCAAGTGGATATTTGGACTTCTCTGAGGATTTCGTTGGAAACGGGATAAACTTCCCAGAACTACACGGAAGCATTGTGAGAAACTTCTTTGTGATGTTGGCATTCAACTCACAGAGTTGAACCTTGCTTTCATTGTTCAGCTTTCAAACACTCTTTTTGTAGAATCTGCAAGTGGATATTTGGACCACTTTGTGGCCTTCCTTCGAAACGGGTATATCTTCACATCAAACCTAGACAGAAGCATTCTCAGAATGTTTCCTGTGATGACTGCATTCAACTCACAGAGGTGAACAATCCTGCTGATGGAGCAGTTTTGAAACTCTCTTTCTTTGGATTCTGCAAGTGGATATGTGGACCTCTGTGAAGATTTCGTTGGAAACGGGTTCATCTTCACAGAAAAACTAAACAGGAAGCATTCTCAGCAAACTGCTTTGTGATGTTTGTGTTCCACTTCAGGAATTGAACTTTCCTCTTGACAGAGCAGCTCTGAAACCCTCTTTTTCTAGAATCTGCAAGTTGACATTTGGAGGGCTTTGAGGCCTGCGGTGGAAAAGGAAAATCTTCACATAAAAACTAGATGGAAGCATTCTCAGAAACTACTTTGTGATGATTGCATTCGACTCACAGAGTTGAACATTCCTATAGATAGAGCAGGTTGTAAACAATCTTTTTGTAGAATCTGCGATTGGAGATTTGGACTGCTTTGAGGCCTACTGTAGTAAAGGAAATAACTTCATCTAAAAACCTAACGGAAGCATTCACAGACAATTCTTAGTGATCATTGGATTGAACTAACAGAGCTGAACATTCCTTTAGATGGGGCTGTTTCCAAACACACTTTCTGTAGAATCTGCAAGTGGATATTTGGACTTCTCTGAGGATTTCGTTGGAAATGGGATAAACTTCCCAGAACTACACGGAAGCATTGTGAGAAACTTCTTTGTGATGTTTGCATTCAAGTCACAGAGTTGAACCTTGCTTTCATAGTTCAGCTTTCAAACACTCTTTTTGTAGAATCTGCAAGTGGATATTTGGACCACTTTGTGGCCTTCCTTTGAAACTGGTATATCTTCACATCAAACCTAGACAGAAGCATTCTCAGAATGTTTCCTGTGATGACTGCATTCAACTCACAGAGGTGAACAATCCTGCTGATGGAGCAGTTTTGAAACTCTCTTTCTTTGGATTCTGCTAGTGGATATGTGGACCTCTGTGAAGATTTCGTTGGAAACGGGTTCATCTTCACAGAAAAACTAAACAGAAGCATTCTCAGAAACTGCTTTGTGATGTTTGTGTTCCACTTCAAGAATTGAACTTTCCTCTTGACAGAGCAGCTCTGAAACCCTCTTTTTCTAGAATCTGCAAGTGGACATTTGGAGGGCTTTGAGGCCTGTGGTGGAAAAGGAAAATCTTCACATAAAAACTAGATGGAAGCATTCTCAGAAACTACTTTGTGATGATTGCATTCGACTCACAGAGTTGAACATTCCTATAGATAGAGCAGGTTGTAAACAATCTTTTTGTAGAATCTGCGATTGGAGATTTGGACTGCTTTGAGGCCTACTGTAGTAAAGGAAATAACTTCATCTAAAAACCAAACGGAAGCATTCACAGACAATTCTTAGTGATCATTGGATTGAACTAACAGAGCTGAACATTCCTTTCGATGGCGCAGTTTCCAAACACACTTTCTGTAGAATCTGCCACTGGATATTTGGACTTCTCTGAGGATTTCGTTGGAAACGGGATAAACTTCCCAGAACTACACGGAAAGCATTCTGAGAAACTTCTTTGTGATGTTTGCATTCAACTCACAGGATTTGCACCTTGCTTTCATAGTTCAGCTTTCAAACACTCTTTTTGTAGAATCTGCAAGTGGATATTTGGACCACTTTGTGGCCTTCCTTCGAAAAGGGTATATCTTCACATCAAACCTAGACAGAAGAATTCTCAGAATGTTTCCTGTGATGACTGCATTCAACTCACAGAGGTGAACAATCCTGTTGATGGAGCAGTTTTGAAACTCTCTTTCTTTGGATTCTGCAAGTTGATATGTGGACCTCTGTGAAGATTTCGTTGGAAACGGGTTCATCTTCACAGAAAAACTAAACAGAAGCATTCTCAGAAACTGCTTTGTGATGTTTGTGTTCCACTTCAGGAATTGAACTTTCCTCTTGACAGAGCAGCTCTGAAACCCTCTTATTCTAGAATCTGCAAGTGGACATTTGGAGGGCTTTGAGGCCTGTGGTGGAAAAGGAAAATCTTCACATAAAAACTAGATGGAAGCATTCTCAGAAACTCCTTTGTGATGATTGCATTCGACTCACAGAGTTGAACATTCCTATAGATAGAGCAGGTTGTAAACAATCTTTTTGTAGAATCTGCGATTGGAGATTTGGACTGCTTTGAGGCCTACTGTAGTAAAGGAAATAACTTCATCTAAAAACCAAACGGAAGCATTCACAGACAATTCTTAGTGATCATTGGATTGAACTAACAGAGCTGAACATTCCTTTAGATGGAGCAGTTTCCAAACCCACTTTCTGTAGAATCTGCAAGTGGATATTTGGACTTCTCTGAGGATTTCGTTGGAAAAGGGATAAACTTCCCAGAACTACACGGAAGCATTCTGAGAAACTTCTTTGTGATGTTTGCATTCAACTCACAGAGTTGAACCTTGCTTTCATAGTTCAGCTTTCAAACCCTCTTTTTGTAGAATCTGCAAGTGGATATTTGGACCACTTTGTGGCCTTCTTTCGAAACGGGTATATCTTCACATCAAACCTAGACAGAAGCATTCTCAGAATGTTTCCTGTGATGACTGCATTCAACTCACAGAGGTGAACAATCCTGTTGATGGAGCACTTTTGAAACTCTCTTTCTTTGGATTCTGCAAGTGGATATGTGGACCTCTGTGAAGATTTCGTTGGAAACGGGTTCATCTTCACAGAAAAAATAACAGGAGCATTCTCAGAAACTACTTTGTGATGTTTGTGTTCCACTTCAAGAATTGAACTTTCCTCTTGACAGAGCAGCTCTGAAACCCTCTTTTTCTAGAATCTGCAAGTGGACATTTGGAGGGCTTTGAGGCCTGTGGTGGAAAAGGAAAATCTTCACATAAAAACTAGATGGAAGCATTCTCAGAATCTACTTTGTGATGATTGCATTCGACTCACAGAGTTGAACATTCCTATAGATAGAGCAGGTTGTAAACCATCTTTTTGTAGAATCTGCGATTGGAGATTTGGACTGCTTTGAGGCCTACTGTAGTAAAGGAAATAACTTCATCTAAAAACCAAACGGAAAGCATTCACAGACAATTCTTAGTGATCATTGGATTGAACTAACAGAGCTGAACATTCCTTTAGATGGAGCAGTTTCCAAACCCACTTTCTGTAGAATCTGCAAGTGGATATTTGGACTTCTCTGAGAATTTCGTTGGAAACGGGATAAACTTCCCAGAACTACACGGAAGCATTCTGAGAAACTTCTTTGTGATGTTTGCATTCAACTCAGAGGGTTGAAGCTTGCTTTCATAGTTCAGCTTTCAAACCCTCTTTTTGTAGAATCTGCAAGTGGATATTTGGACCACTTTGTGGCCTTCCTTCGAAACGGGTATATCTTCACATCAAATCTAGACAGAAGCATTCTCAGAATTTTTCCTGTGATGACTGCATTCAACTCACAGAGGTGAACAATCCTGCTGATGGAGCAGTTTTGAAACTCTCTTTCTTTGGATTCTGCAAGTTGATATGTGGACCTCTGTGAAGATTTCGTTGGAAACGGGTTCATCTTCACAGAAAAACTAAACAGAAGCATTCTCAGAAACTGCTTTGTGATGTTTGTGTTCCACTTCAGGAATTGAACTTTCCTCTTGACAGAACAGCTCTGAAACCCTCTTATTCTAGAATCTGCAAGTGGACATTTGGAGGGCTTTGAGGCCTGTGGTGGAAAAGGAAAATCTTCACATAAAAACTAGATGGAAGCATTATCAGAAACTACTTTGTGATGATTGCATTCGACTCACAGAGTTGAACATTCCTATAGATAGAGCAGGTTGTAAACAATCTTTTTGTAGAATCTGCGATTGGAGATTTGGACTGCTTTGAGGCCTACTGTAGTAAAGGAAATAACTTCATCTAAAAAACAAACGGAAGCATTCACAGACAATTCTTAGTGATCATTGGATTGAACTAACAGAGCTGAACATTCCTTTAGATGGAGCAGTTTCCAAACACACTTTCTGTAGAATCTGCAAGTGGATATTTGGACTTCTCTGAGGATTTCGTTGGAAACGGGATAAACTTCCCAGAACTACACGGAAGCATTGTGAGAAACATCTTTGTGATGTTTGCATTCAACTCACAGAGTTGAACCTTGCTTTCATAGTTCAGCTTTCAAACACTCTTTTTGTAGAATCTGCAAGTGGATATTTGGACCACTTTGTGGCTTTCCTTTGAAACGGGTACATCTTCACATCAAACCTAGACAGAAGCATTCTCAGAATGTTTCCTGTGATGACTGCATTCAACTCACAGAGGTGAACAATCCTGTTGATGGAGCACTTTTGAAACTCTCTTTCTTTGGATTCTGCAAGTTGATATGTGGACCTCTGTGAAGATTTCGTTGGAAACGGGTTCATCTTCACAGAAAAACTAAACAGAAGCATTCTCAGAAACTGCTTTGTGATGTTTGTGTTCCACTTCAAGAATTGAACTTTCCTCTTGACAGAGCAGCTCTGAAACCCTCTTTTTCTAGAATCTGCAAGTGGACATTTGGAGGGCTTTGAGGCCTGTGGTGGAAAAGGAAAATCTTCCCATAAAAACTAGATGGAAGCATTCTCAGAAACTACTTTGTGATGGTTGCATTCGACTCACAGAGTTGAACATTCCTATAGATAGAGCAGGTTGTAAACAATCTTTTTGTAGAATCTGCGATTGGAGATTTGGACTGCTTTGAGGCCTACTGTAGTAAAGGAAATAACTTCATCTAAAAACCAAACGGAAGCATTCACAGACAATTCTTAGTGATCATTGCATTGAACTAACAGAGCTGAACATTCCTTTAGATGGAGCAGTTTCCAAACACACTTTCTGTAGAATCTGCAAGTGGATATTTGGACTTCTCTGAGGATTTCGTTGGAAACGGGATAAACTTCCCAGAACTACACGGAAGCATTCTGAGAAACTTCTTTGTGATGTTTGCATTCAACTCACAGAGTTGGACCTTGATTTCATAGTTCAGCTTTCAAACACTCTTTTTGTAGAATCTGCAAGTGGATATTTGGACCACTTTTTGGCCTTCCTTCGAAACGGGTATATCTTCACATCAAACCTAGACAGAAGCATGCGCAGAATGTTTCCTGTGATGACTGCATTCAACTCACAGAGGTGAACAATCCTGCTGATGGAGCAGTTTTGAAACTCCCTTTCTTTGGATTCTGCAAGTGGATATGTGGACCTCTGTGAAGATTTCGTTGGAAACGGGTTCATCTTCACAGAAAAACTAAACAGGAGCATTCTCAGTAAACTGCTTTGTGATGTTTGTGTTCCACTTCAAGAATTGAACTTTCCTCTTGACAGAGCAGCTCTGAAACCCTCTTTTTCTAGAATCTGCAAGTGGACATTTGGACGGCTTTGAGGCCTGTGGTGGAAAAGGAAAATCTTCACATAAAAACTAGATGGAAGTATTATCAGAAACTACTTTGTGATGATTGCATTCGACTCACAGAGTTGAACATTCCTATAGATAGAGCAGGTTGTAAACAATCTTTTTGTAGAATCTGCGATTGGAGATTTGGACTGCTTTGAGGCCTACTGTAGTAAAGGAAATAACTTCATCTAAAAACCAAACGGAAGCATTCACAGACAATTCTTAGTGATCATTGGATTGAACTAACAGAGCTGAACATTCCTTTAGATGGAGCAGTTTCCAAACACACTTTCTGTAGAATCTGCAAGTGGATATTTGGACTTCTCTGAGGATTTCGTTGGAAACGGGATAAACTTCCCAGAACTACACGGAAGCATTCTGAGAAACTTCTTTGTGATGTTTGCATTCAACTCACAGAGTTGAACCTTGCTTTCATAGTTCAGCTTTCAAACACTCTTTTTGTAGAATCTGCAAGTGGATATTTGGGACCACTTTGTGGCCTTCCTTCGAAACGGGTATATCTTCACATCAAACCTAGACAGAAGCATTCTCAGAATGTTTCCTGTGATGACTGCATTCAACTCACAGAGGTGAACAATCCTGCCGATGGAGCAGTTTTGAAACTCTCTTTCTTTGGATTCTGCAAGTGGATATGTGGACCTCTGTGAAGATTTCGTTGGAAACGGGTTCATCTTCACAGAAAAACTATACAGGAGCATTCTCAGAAACTGCTTTGTGATGTTTGTGTTCCACTTCAAGAATTGAACTTTCCTCTTGACAGAGCAGCTCTGAAACCCTCTTTTTCTAGAATCTGCAAGTGGACATTTGGTGGGCTTTGAGGCCTGTGGTGGAAAAGGAAAATCTTCACATAAAAACTAGATGGAAGCATTCTCAGAAACTACTTTCTGATGATTGCATTCGACTCACAGAGTTGAACATTCCTATAGATAGAGCAGGTTGTAAACAATCTTTTTGTAGAATCCGCGATTGGATATTTGGACTGTTTTGAGACCTACTGTAGTAAAGGAAATAACTTCATCTAAAAACCAAACGGAAGCATTCACAGACAATGCTTAGTGATCATTGGATTGAACTAACAGAGCTGAACATTCCTTTAGATGGAGCAGTTTCCAAACCCAATTTCTGTAGAATCTGCAAGTGGATATTTGGACCTCTCTGAGGATTTCGTTGGAAACGGGATATACTTCCCAGAACTACACGGAAGCATTCTGAGAAACTTCTTTGTGATGTTTGCATTCAACTCACAGAGTTGAACCTTGCTTTCATAGTTCAGCTTTCAAACACTCTTTTTGTAGAATCTGCAAGTGGATATTTGGACCACTTTGTGGCCTTCCTTCGAAACGGGTATATCTTCACATCAAACCTAGACAGAAGCATTCTCAGAATGTTTCCTGTGATGACTGCATTCAACTCACAGAGGTGAACAATCCTGCTGATGGAGCAGTTTTGAAACTCTCTTTCTTTGGATTCTGCAAGTGGATATGTGGACCTCTGTGAAGATTTCGTTGGAAACGGGTTCATCTTCACAGAAAAACTAAACAGAAGCATTCTCAGAAACTGCTTTGTGATGTTTGTGTTCCACTTCAGGAATTGAAATTTCCTCTTGACAGAGCAGCTCTGAAACCCTCTTTTTCTAGAATCTGCAAGTGGACATTTGGAGGGCTTTGAGGCCTGTGGTGGAAAAGGAAAATCTTCACATAAAAACTAGATGGAAGCATTCTCAGAAACTACTTTGTGATGATTGCATTCGACTCACAGAGTTGAACATTCCTATAGATAGAGCAGGTTGTAAACAATCTTTTTGTAGAATCTGCGATTGGAGATTTGGACTGCTTTGAGGCCTACTGTAGTAAAGGAAATAACTTCATCTAAAAACCAAACGGAAGCATTCACAGACAATTCTTAGTGATCATTGCATTGAACTAACAGAGCTGAACATTCCTTTAGATGGCGCAGTTTCCAAACACACTTTCTGTAGAATCTGCAAGTGGATATTTGGACTTCTCTGAGGATTTCGTTGGAAACGGGATAAACTTCCCAGAACTACACGGAAGCATTGTGAGAAACTTCTCTGTGATGTTAGCATTCAACTCACAGAGTTGAACCTTGCTTTCATAGTTCAGCTTTCAAACACTCTTTTTGTGGAATCTGCAAGTGGATATTTGGACCACTTTGTGGCCTTCCTTCGAAACGGGTATATCTTCACATCAAACCTAGACAGAAGCATTCTCAGAATGTTACCTGTGATGACTGCATTCAACTCACAGAGGTGAACAATCCTGCTGATGGAGCAGTTTTGAAACTCTCTTTCTTTGGATTCTGCAAGTGGATATGTGGACCTCTGTGAAGATTTCGTTGGAAACGGGTTCATCTTCACAGAAAAACTAAACAGAAGCATTCTCAGAAACTGCTTTGTGATGTTTGTGTTCCACTTCAAGAATTGAACTTTCCTCTTGACAGAGCAGCTCTGAAACCCTCTTATTCTAGAATCTGCAAGTGGACATTTGGAGGGCTTTGAGGCCTGTGGTGGAAAAGGAAAATCTTCACATAAAAACTAGATGGAAGCATTCTCAGAAACTACTATGTGATGATTGCATTCGACTCACAGAGTTGAACATTCCTATAGATAGAGCAGGTTGTAAACAATCTTTTTGTAGAATCTGCGATTGGAGATTTGGACTGCTTTGAGGCCTACTGTAGTAAAGGAAATAACTTCATCTAAAAACCAAACGGAAGCATTCACAGACAATTCTTAGTGATCATTGGATTGAACTAACAGAGCTGAATATTCCTTTAGATGGAGCAGGTTCCAAACCCAATTTCTGTAGAATCTGCAAGTGGATATTTGGACTTCTCTGAGGATTTCGTTGGAAATGGGATAAACTTCCCAGAACTACACGGAAGCATTCTGAGAAACTTCTTTGTGATGTTTGCATTCAACTCACAGAGTTTAACCTTGCTTTCATAGTTCAGCTTTCAAACACTCTTTTTGTAGATTCTGCAAGTGGATATTTGGACCACTTTGTGGCCTTCCTTCGAAACGGGTATATGTTCACATCAAACCTAGACAGAAGCATTCTCCGAATGTTTCCTGTGATGACTGCATTCAACTCACAGAGGTGAACAATCCTGCTGATGGAGCAGTTTTGAAACTCTCTTTCTTTGGATTCTGCAAGTGGATATGTGGACCTCTGTGAAGATTTCGTTGGAAACGGGTTCATCTTCACAGAAAAACTAAACAGGAGCATTCTCAGAAACTGCTTTGTGATGTCTGTGTTCCACTTCAGGAATTGAACTTTCCTCTTGAATGAGCAGCTCTGAAACCCTCTTATTCTAGAATCTGCAAGTGGACATTTGGAGGGCTTTGAGGCCTGTGGTGGAAAAGGAAAATCTTCACAGAAAAACTAGATGGAAGCATTCTCAGAAACTACTTTGTGATGATTGCATTCGACTCACAGAGTTGAACATTCCTATAGATAGACCAGGTTGTAAACAATCTTTTTGTAGAATCTGCGATTGGAGATTTGGACTGCTTTGAGGCCTACTGTAGTGAAGGAAATAACTTCATCTAAAAACCAAACGGAAGCATTCACAGACAATCCTTAGTGATCATTGCATTGAACTAACAGAGCTGAACATTCCTTTAGATGGCGCAGTTTCCAAACACACTTTCTGTAGAATCTGCAAGTGGATATTTGGACCTCTCTGAGGATTTCGTTGGAAACGGGATAAACTTCCCAGAACTACACGGAAGCATTCTGAGAAACTTCTTTGTGATGTTTGCATTCAACTCACAGAGTTGAACCTTGCTTTCATAGTTCAGCTTTCAAACACTCTTTTTGTAGAATCTGCAAGTGGATATTTGGACCACTTTGTGGCCTTCCTTCGAAACGGGTATATCTTCACATCAAACCTAGACAGAAGCATTCTCAGAATGTTTCCTGTGATGACTGCATTCAACTCACAGAGGTGAACAATCCTGCTGATGGAGCAGTTTTGAAACTCTCTTTCTTTGGATTCTGCAAGTGGATATGTGGACCTCTGTGAAGATTTCGTTGGAAACGGGTTCATCTTCACAGAAAAACTAAACAGGAGCATTCTCAGAAACTGCTTTGTGATGTTTGTTTTCCACTTCAGGAATTGAACTTTCCTCTTGACAGAGCAGCTCTGAAACCCTCTTTTTCTAGAATCTGCAAGTGGACATTTGGAGGGCTTTGAGGCCTGTGGTGGAAAAGGAAAATCTTCACATAAAAACTAGATGGAAGCATTCTCAGAAACTACTTTGTGATGATTGCATTCGACTCACAGAGTTGAACATTCCTATAGATACAGCAGGTTGTAAACAATCTTTTTGTAGAATCTGCGATTGGAGATTTGGACTGCTTTGAGGCCTACTGTAGTAAAGGAAATAACTTCATCTAAAAACCAAATGGAAGCATTCACAGACAATTCTTAGTGATCATTGGATTGAACTAACAGAGCTGAACATTCCTTTAGATGGAGCATTTTCCAAACACACTTTCTGTAGAATCTGCAAGTGGATATTTGGACTTCTCTGAGGATTTCGTTGGAAACGGGATAAACTTCCCAGAACTACACGGAAGCATTGTGAGAAACTTCTTTGTGATGTTTGCATTCAACTCACAGAGTTGAACCTTGCTTTCATAGTTCAGCTTTCAAACACTCTTTTTGTAGAATCTGCAAGTGGATATTTGGACCACTTTGTGGCCTTCCTTCGAAACGGGTATATCTTCACATCAAACCTAGACAGAAGCATTCTCAGAATGTTTCCTGTGATGACTGCATTCAACTCACAGAGGTGAACAATCCTGCTGATGGAGCAGTTTTGAAACTCTCTTTCTTTGGATTCTGCAAGTGGATATGTGGACCTCTGTGAAGATTTCGTTGGAAACGGGTTCATCTTCACAGAAAAACTAAACAGGAGCATTCTCAGAAACTGCTTTGTGATATTTGTGTTCCACTTCAGGAATTGAACTTTCCTCTTGACAGAGCAGCTCTGAAACCCTCTTTTTCTAGAATCTGCAAGTGGACATTTGGAGGGCTTTGAGGCCTGTGGTGGAAATGGAAAATCTTCACATAAAAACTAGATGGAAGCATTCTCAGAAACTACTTTGTGATGATTGCATTCGACTCACAGAGTTGAACATTCCTATAGAGAGACCAGGTTGTAAACAATCTTTTTGTAGAATCTGCGATTAGAGATTTGGACAGCTTTGAGGCCTACTGTAGTAAAGGAAATAACTTCATCTAAAAACCAAACGGAAAGCATTCACAGACAATTCTTAGTGATCATTGGATTGAACTAACAGAGCTGAACATTCCTTTAGATGGAGCAGTTTCCAAACACACTTTCTGTAGAATCTGCAAGTGGATATTAGGACTTCTCTGAGGATTTCGTTGGAAACGGGATAAACTTCCCAGAACTACAGGGAAAGCATTCTGAGAAACTTCTTTGTGATGTTTGCATTCAACTCACAGAGTTGAACCTTGCTTTCATAGTTCAGCTTTCAAACACTCTTTTTGTAGAATCTGCAAGTGGATATTTGGACCACTTTGTGGCCTTCCTTCGAAACGGGTATATCTTCACATCAAACCTAGACAGAGCATTCTCAGAATGTTTCCTGTGATGACTGCATTCAACTCACAGAGGTGAACAATCCTGCTGATGGAGCTGTTTTGAAACTCTCTTTCTTTGGATTCTGCAAGTGGATATGTGGACCTCTGTGAAGATTTCGTTGGAAACGGGTTCATCTTCACAGAAAAACTAAACAGGAGCATTCTCAGAAACTGCTTTGTGATGTTTGTGTTCCACTTCAAGAATTGAACTTTCCTCTTGACCGAGCAGCTCTGAAACCCTCTTATTCTAGAATCTGCAAGTGGACATTTGGAGGGCCTTTGAGGCCTGTGGTGGAAAAGGAAAATCTTCACATAAAAACTAGATGGAAGCATTCTCAGAAACTCCTTTGTGATGATTGCATTCGACTCACAGAGTTGAACATTCCTATAGATAGAGCAGGTTGTAAACAATCTTTTTGTAGAATCTGCGATTGGAGATTTGGACTGCTTTGAGGCCTACTGTAGTAAAGGAAATAACTTCATCTAAAAAACAAACGGAAGCATTCACAGACAATTCTTAGTGATCTATTGGATTGAACTAACAGAGCTGAACATTCCTTTAGATGGCGCAGTTTCCAAACCCACTTTCTGTAGAATCTGCAAGTGGATATTTGGACTTCTCTGAGGATTTCGTTGGAAACGAGATAAACTTCCCAGAACTACACGGAAGCATTCTGAGAAACTTCTTTGTGATGTTTGCATTCAACTCACAGAGTTGAACCTTGCTTTCATAGTTCAGCTTTCAAACACTCTTTTTGTAGAATCTGCAAGTGGATATTTGGACCACTTTGTGGCCTTCCTTCGAAACGGGTATATCTTCACATCAAACCTAGACAGAAGCATTCTCAGTAATGTTTCCTGTGATGACTGCATTCAACTCACAGAGGTGAACAATCCTGTTGATGAAGCAGTTTTGAAACTCTCTTTCTTTGGATTCTGCAAGTTGATATGTGGACCTCTGTGAAGATTTCGTTGGAAACGGGTTCATCTTCACAGAAAAACTAAACAGAAGCATTCTCAGAAACTGCTTTGTGATGTTTGTGTTCCACTTCAAGAATTGAACTTTCCTCTTGACAGAGCAGCTCTGAAACCCTCTTTTTCTAGAATCTGCAAGTGGACATTTGGAGGGCTTTGAGGCCTGTGGTGGAAAAGGAAAATCTTCCCATAAAAACTAGATGGAAGCATTCTCAGAAACTACTTTGTGATGATTGCATTCGACTCACAGAGTTGAACATTCCTATAGATAGAGCAGGTTGAAAACAATCTTTTTGTAGAATCTGCGATTGGAGATTTGGACTGCTTTGAGGCCTACTGTAGTAAAGGAAATAACTTCATCTAAAAATCAAACGGAAGCATTCACAGACAATTCTTAGTGATCATTGCATTGAACTAACAGAGCTGAACATTCCTTTAGATGGAGCATTTTCCAAACACACTTTCTGTAGAATCTGCAAGTGGATATTTGGACTTCTCTGAGGATTTCGTTGGAAACGGGATAAACTTCCCAGAACTACACGGAAGCATTGTGAGAAACTTCTTTGTGATGTTTGCATTCAACTCACAGAGTTGAACCTTGCTTTCATAGTTCAGCTTTCAAACACTCTTTTTGTAGAATCTGCAACTGGATATTTGGACCACTTTGTGGCCTTCCTTCGAAACGGGTATATCTTCACATCAAACCTAGACAGAAGCATTCTCAGAATGTTTCCTGTGATGACTGCATTCAACTCACAGAGGTGAACAATCCTGCTGATGGAGCAGTTTTGAAACTCTCTTTCTTTGGATTCTGCAAGTGGATATGTGGACCTCTGTGAAGATTTCGTTGGAAACGGGTTCATCTTCACAGAAAAACTAAACAGGAGAATTCTCAGAAACTGCTTTGTGATGTTTGTGTTCCACTTCAAGGATTGAACTTTCCTCTTGACAGAGCAGCTCTGAAACCCTCTTTTTCTAGAATCTGCAAGTGGACATTTGGAGGGCTTTGAGGCCTGTGGTGGAAAAGGAAAATCTTCACATAAAAACTAGATGGAAGCATTCTCAGAAACTACTTTGCGATGATTGCATTCGACTCACAGAGTTGAACATTCCTATAGATAGAGCAGGTTGTAAACAATCTTTTTGTAGAATCTGCGATTGGAGATTTTACTGCTTTGAGGCCTACTGTAGTAAAGGAAATAACTTCATCTAAAAACCAAACGGAAGCATTCACAGACAATTCTTAGTGATCATTGGATTGAACTAACAGAGCTGAACATTCCTTTAGATGGAGCAGTTTCCAAACACACTTTCTGTAGAATCTGCAAGTGGATATTTGGACCTCTCTGAGGATTTCGTTGGAAACGGGATAAACTTCCCAGAACTACACGGAAGCATTCTGAGAAACTTCTTTGTGATGTTTGCATTCAACTCACAGAGTTGAACCTTGCTTTCATAGTTCAGCTTTCAAACACTCTTTTTGTAGGATCCGCAAGTGGATATTTGACAACTTTGTGGCCTTCCTTCGAAACGGGTATATCTTCACATCAAACCTAGACAGAAGCATTCTCAGAATGTTTCCTGTGATGACTGCATTCAACTCACAGAGGTGAACAATCCTGCTGTTGGAGCAGTTTTGAAACTCTCTTTCTTTGGATTCTGCAAGTGGATATGTGGAACTCTGTGAAGATTTCGTTGGAAACGGGTTCATCTTCGCAGAAAAACTAAACAGGAGCATTCTCAGAAACTGCTTTGTGATGTTTGTGTTCCACTTCAAGAATTGAACTTTCCTCTTGACCGAGCAGCTCTGAAACCCTCTTTTTCTAGAATCTGCAAGTGGACATTTGGAGGGCTTTGAGGCCTGTGGTGGAGAAGGAAAATCTTCACATAAAAACTAGATGGAAGCATTCTCAGAAACTACTTTGTGATGATTGCATTCGACTCACAGAGTTGAACATTCCTATAGATAGAGCAGGTTGTAAACAATCTTTTTGTAGAATCTGCGATTGGAGATTTGGACTGCTTTGAGGCCTACTGTAGTAAAGGAAATAACTTCATCTAAAAACCAAACGGAAGCATTCACAGACAATTCTTAGTGATCATTGGATTGAACTAACAGAGCTGAACATTCCTTTAGATGGAGGAGTTTCCAAACACACTTTCTGTAGAATCTGCAAGTGGATATTTGGAACTCTCTGAGGATTTCGTTGGAAACGGGATAAACTTCCCAGAACTACACGGAAGTATTCTGAGAAACTTCTTTGTGATGTTTGCATTCAACTCACAGAGTTGAACCTTGCTTTCATAGTTCAGTTTTCAAACACTCTTTTTGTAGAATCTGCAAGTGGATATTTGGACAACTTTGTGGCCTTCCTTCGAAACGGGTATATCTTCACATCAAACCTAGACAGAAGCATTCTCAGAATGTTTCCTGTGATGACTGCATTCAACTCACAGAGGTGAACAATCCTGCTGATGGAGCAGTTTTGAAACTCTGTTTCTTTGGATTCTGCAAGTGGATATGTGGACCTCTGTGAAGATTTCGTTGGAAACGGGTTCATCTTCACAGAAAAACTAAACAGGAGCATTCTCAGAAACTACTTTGTGATGTTTGTGTTCCACTTCAAGAATTGAACTTTCCTCTTGACAGAGCAGCTCTGAAACCCTCTTTTTCTAGAATCTGCAAGTGGACATTTGGAGGGCTTTGAGGCCTGTGGTGGAAAAGGAAAATCTTCACATAAAAACTAGATGGAAGCATTCTCAGAAACTGCTTTGTGATGATTGCATTCGACTCACAGAGTTGAACATTCCTATAGATAGAGCAGGTTGTAAACAATCTTTTTGTAGAATCTGCGATTGGAGATTTGGACTGCTTTGAGGCCTACTGTAGTAAAGGAAATAACTTCATCTAAAAACCAAACGGAAGCATTCACAGACAATTCTTAGTGATCATTGGATAGAACTAACAGAGCTGAACATTCCTTTAGACGGAGCAGTTTCCAAACACACTTTCTGTAGAATCTGCAAGTGGATATTTGGACCTCTCTGAGGATTTCGTTGGAAACGGGATAAACTTCCCAGAACTACACGGAAGCATTCTGAGAAACTTCTTTGTGATTTTTGCATTCAACTCACAGAGTTGAACCTTGCTTTCATAGTTCAGCTTTCAAACACTCTTTTTGTAGAATCTGCAAGTGGATATTTGGACCACTTTGTGGCCTTCCTTCGAAACGGGTATATCTTCACATCAAACCTAGACAGAAGCATTCTCAGAATGTTTCCTGTGATGACTGCATTCAACTCACAGAGGTGAACAATCCTGCTGATGGAGCAGTTTTGAAACTCTCTTTCTTTGGATTCTGCAAGTGGATATGTGGACCTCTGTGAAGATTTCGTTGGAAACGGGTTCATCTTCACAGAAAAACTAAACAGAAGCATTCTCAGAAACTGCTTTGTGATGTTTGTGTTCCACTTCAAGAATTGAACTTTCCTCTTGACAGAGCAGCTCTGAAAACCTCTTTTTCTAGAATCTGCAAGTGGACATTTGGAGGGCTTTGAGGCCTGTGGTGGAAAAGGAAAATCTTCACATAAAACTAGATGGAAGCATTCTCAGAAACTACTTTGTGATGATTGCATTCGACTCACAGAGTTGAACATTCCTATAGATAGAGCAGGTTGTAAACAATCTTTTTGTAGAATCTCCGATTGGAGATTTGGACTGCTTTGAGGCCTACTGTAGTAAAGGAAATAACTTCATCTAAAAACCAAACGGAAGCATTCACAGACAATTCTTAGTGATCATTTCATTGAACTAACAGAGCTGAACATTCCTTTAGATGGCGCAGTTTCCAAACACACTTTCTGTAGAATCTGCAAGTGGATATTTGGACTTCTCTGAGGATTTCGTTGGAAACGGGATAAACTTCCCAGAACTACACGGAAGCATTCTGAGAAACTTCTTTGTGATGTTTGCATTCAACTCACAGAGTTGAACCTTGCTTTCATAGTTCAGCTTTCAAACACTCTTTTTGTAGAATCTGCAAGTGGATATTTGGACCACTTTGTGGCCTTCCTTCGAAACGGGTATATCTTCACATCAAACCTAGACAGAAGCATTCTCAGAATGTTTCCTGTGATGACTGCATTCAACTCACAGAGGTGAACAATCCCTGCTGATGGAGCAGTTTTGAAACTCTCTTTCTTTGGATTCTGCAAGTGGATATGTGGACCTCTGTGAAGATTTCGTTGGAAACGGGTTCATCTTCACAGAAAAACTAAACAGGGAGCATTCTCAGAAACTGCTTTGTGATGTTTGTGTTCCACTTCAAGAATTGAACTTTCCTCTTGACAGAGCAGCTCTGAAACCCTCTTTTTCTAGAATCTGCAAGTGGACATTTGGAGGGCTTTGAGGCCTGTGGTGGAAAAGGAAAATCTTCACATAAAAACTAGATGGAGCATTCTCAGAAACTACTTTGTGATGATTGCATTCGACTCACAGAGTTGAACATTCCTATAGATAGAGCAGGTTGTAAACAATCTTTTTGTAGAATCTGCGATTGGAGATTTGGACTGCTTTCAGGCCTACTGTAGTAAAGGAAATAACTTCATCTAAAAACCAAACGGAAGCATTCACAGACAATTCTTAGTGATCATTGGATTGAACTAACAGAGCTGAACATTCCTTTAGATGGAGCAGTTTCCAAACCCACTTTCTGTAGAATCTGCAAGTGGATATTTGGACTTCTCTGAGGATTTCGTTGGAAACGGGATAAACTTCCCAGAACTACACGGAAGCATTCTGAGAAACTTCTTTGTGATGTTTGCATTCAACTCACAGAGTTGAACCTTGCTTTCATAGTTCAGCTTTCAAACACTCTTTTTGTAGAATCTGCAAGTGGATATTTGGACCACTTTGTGGCCTTCCTTCGAAACGGGTATATCTTCACATCAAACCTAGACAGAAGCATTCTCAGAATGTTTCCTGTGATGACTGCATTCAACTCACAGAGGTGAACAATCCTGCTGATGGAGCACTTTTGAAACTCTCTTTCTTTGGATTCTGCAAGTGGATATGTGGACCTCTGTGAAGATTTCGTTGGAAACGGGTTCATCTTCACAGAAAAACTAAACAGGAGCATTCTCAGAAACTGCTTTGTGATGTTTGTGTTCCACTTCAGGAATTGAACTTTCCTCTTGACAGAGCAGCTCTGAAACCCTCTTATTCTAGAATCTGCAAGTGGACATTTGGAGGGCTTTGAGGCCTGTGGTGGAAAAGGAAAATCTTCACATAAAAACTAGATGGAAGCATTCTCAGAAACTACTTTGTGATGATTGCATTCGACTCACAGAGTTGAACATTCCTATAGATAGAGCAGGTTGTAAACAATCTTTTTGTAGAATCTGCGATTGGAGATTTGGACTGCTTTGAGGCCTACTGTAGTAAAGGAAATAACTTCATCTAAAAACCAAACGGAAGCATTCACAGACAATTCTTAGTGATCATTGCATTGAACTAACAGAGCTGAACATTCCTTTAGATGGCGCAGTTTACAAACACACTTTCTGTAGAATCTGCAAGTGGATATTTGGACCTCTCTGAGGATTTCGTTGGAAACGGGATAAACTTCCCAGAACTACACGGAAGCATTGTGAGAAACTTCTTTGTGATGTTTGCATTCAACTCACAGAGTTGAACCTTGCTTTCATAGTTCAGCTTTCAAACACTCTTTTTGTAGAATCTGCAAGTGGATATTTGGACCACTTTGTGGCCTTCCTTCGAAACGGGTATATCTTCACATCAAACCTAGACAGAAGCATTCTCAGAATGTTTCCTGTGATGACTGCATTCAACTCACAGAGGTGAACAATCCTGCTGATGGAGCAGTTTTGAAACTCTCTTTCTTTGGATTCTGCAAGTGGATATGTGGACCTCTGTGAAGATTTCGTTGGAAACGGGTTCATCTTCACAGAAAAACTAAACAGAAGCATTCTCAGAAACTGCTTTGTGATGTTTGTGTTCCACTTCAAGAATTGAACTTTCCTCTTGACAGAGCAGCTCTGAAACCCTCTTATTCTAGAATCTGCAAGTGGACATTTGGAGGGCTTTGAGGCCTGTGGTGGAAAAGGAAAATCTTCACATAAAAACTAGATGGAAGCATTCTCAGAAACTACTTTGTGATGATTGCATTCGACTCACAGAGTTGAACATTCCTATAAGTAGAGCAGGTTGTAAACAATCTTTTTGTAGAATCTGCGATTGGAGATTTGGACTGCTTTGAGGCCTACTGTAGTAAAGGAAATAACTTCATCTAAAAACCAAACGGAAGCATTCACAGACAATTCTTAGTGATCATTGGATTGAACTAACAGAGCTGAACATTCCTTTAGATGGAGCAGTTTCCAAACACACTTTCTGTAGAATCTGCAAGTGGATATTTGGACTTCTCTGAGGATTTCGTTGGAAACGGGATAAACTTCCCAGAACTACACGGAAGCATTCTGAGAAACTTCTTTGTGATGTTTGCATTCAACTCACAGAGTTGAACCTTGCTTTCATAGTTCAGCTTTCAAACACTCTTTTTGTAGAATCTGCAAGTGGATATTTGGACCACTTTGTGGCCTTCCTTCGAAACGGGTATATCTTCACATCAAACCTAGACAGAAGCATTCTCAGAATGTTTCCTGTGATGACTGCATTCAACTCACAGAGGTGAACAATCCTGCTGATGGAGCAGTTTTGAAACTCTCTTTCTTTGGATTCTGCAAGTGGATATGTGGACCTCTGTGAAGATTTCGTTGGAAACGGGTTCATCTTCACAGAAAAACTAAACAGAAGCATTCCCAGAAACTGCTTTGTGATGTTTCTGTTCCACTTCAAGAATTGAACTTTCCTCTTGACAGAGCAGCTCTGAAACCCTCTTTTTCTAGAATCTGCAAGTGGACATTTGGAGGGCTTTGAGGCCTGTGGTGGAAAAGGAAAATCTTCACATAAAAACTAGATGGAAGCATTCTCAGAAACTACTTTGTGATGATTGCATTCGACTCACAGAGTTGAACATTCCTATAGATAGAGCAGGTTGTAAACAATCTTTTTGTAGAATCTGCGATTGGAGATTTGGACTGCTTTGAGGCCTACTGTAGTAAAGGAAATAACTTCATCTAAAAACCAAACGGAAGCATTCACAGACAATTCTTAGTGATCATTGGATTGAACTAACAGAGCTGAACATTCCTTTAGATGGCGCAGTTTCCAAACACACTTTCTGTAGAATCTGCCACTGGATATTTGGACCTCTCTGAGGATTTCGTTGGAAACGGGCTAAACTTCCCAGAACTACACGGAAAGCATTCTGAGAAACTTCTTTGTGATGTTTGCATTCAACTCACAGGATTTGCACCTTGCTTTCATAGTTCAGCTTTCAAACACTCTTTTTGTAGAATCTGCAAGTGGATATTTGGACCACTTTGTGGCCTTCCTTCGAAAAGGGTATATCTTCACATCAAACCTAGACAGAAGCATTCTCAGAATGTTTCCTGTGATGACTGCATTCAACTCACAGAGGTGAACAATCCTGCTGATGGAGCAGTTTTGAAACTCTCTTTCTTTGGATTCTGCAAGTGGATATGTGGACCTCTGTGAAGATTTCGTTGGAAACGGGTTCATCTTCACAGAAAAACTAAACAGAAGCATTCTCAGAAACTGCTTTGTGATGTTTGTGTTCCACTTCAAGAATTGAACTTTCCTCTTGACAGAGCAGCTCTGAAACCCTCTTTTTCTAGAATCTGCAAGTGGACATTTGGAGGGCTTTGAGGCCTGTGGTGCAAAAGGAAAATATTCACATAAAAACTAGATGGAAGCATTCTCAGAAACTACTTTGTGATGATTGCATTCGACTCACAGAGTTGAACATTCCTATAGATAGAGCAGGTTGTAAACAATCTTTTTGTAGAATCTGCGATTGGAGATTTGGACTGCTTTGAGGCCTACTGTAGTAAAGGAAATAACTTCATCTAAAAATCAAACGGAAGCATTCACAGACAATTCTTAGTGATCATTGCATTGAACTAACAGAGCTGAACATTGCTTTAGATGGCGCAGTTTCCAAACACACTTTCCGTAGAATCTGCAAGTGGATATTTGGACCTCTCTGAGGATTTCGTTGGAAACGGGATAAACTTCCCAGAACTACACGGAAGCATTCTGAGAAACTTCTTTGTGATGTTTGCATTCAACTCACAGAGTTGAACCTTGCTTTCATAGTTCAGCTTTCAAACACTCTTTTTGTAGAATCTGCAAGTGGATATTTGGACCACTTTCTGGCCTTCCTTCGAAACGGGTATATCTTCACATCAAACCTAGACAGAAGCATTCTCAGAATGTTTCCTGTGATGACTGCATTCAACTCACAGAGGTGAACAATCCTGCTGATGGAGCAGTTTTGAAACTCTCTTTCTTTGGATTCTGCAGGTGGATATGTGGACCTCTGTGAAGATTTCGTTGGAAACGGGTTCATCTTCACAGAAAAACTAAACAGGAGCATTCTCAGAAACTGCTTTGTGATGTTTGTGTTCCACATCAAGAATTGAACTTTCCTCTTGACAGAGCAGCTCTGAAACCCTCTTTTTCTAGAATCTGCAAGTGGACATTTGGAGGGCTTTGAGGCCTGTGGTGCAAAAGGAAAATCTTCACATAAAAACTAGATGGAAGCATTCTCAGAAACTACTTTGTGATGATTGCATTCGACTCACAGAGTTGAACATTCCTATAGATAGAGCAGGTTGTAAACAATCTTTTTGTAGAATCTGCGATTGGAGATTTGGACTGCTTTGAGGCCTACTGCAGTAAAGGAAAGAACTTCATCTAAAAACCAAACGGAAGCATTCACAGACAATTCTTAGTGATCATTGGATTGAACTAACAGAGCTGAACATTCCTTTAGATGGAGCAGTTTCCAAACACACTTTCTGTAGAATCTGCAAGTGGATATTTGGACCTCTCTGAGGATTTCGTTGGAAACGGGATAAACTTCCCAGAACTACACGGAAGCATTCTGAGAAACTTCTTTGTGATGTTTGCATTCAACTCACAGAGTTGAACCTTGCTTTCATAGTTCAGCTTTCAAACACTCTTTTTGTAGAATCTGCAAGTGGATATTTGGACCACTTTGTGGCCTTCCTTCGAAACGGGTATATCTTCACATCAAACCTAGACAGAAGCATTCTCAGAATGTTTCCTGTGATGACTGCATTCAACTCACAGAGGTGAACAATCCTGTTGATGGAGCAGTTTTGAAACTCTCTTTCTTTGGATTCTGCAAGTGGATATGTGGACCTCTGTGAAGATTTCGTTGGAAACGGGTTCATCTTCACAGAAAAACTAAACAGAAGCATTCTCAGAAACTGCTTTGTGATGTTTGTGTTCCACTTCAAGAATTGAACTTTCCTCTTGACAGAGCAGCTCTAAAACCCTCTTTTTCTAGAATCTGCAAGTGGACATTTGGAG
Organism: Homo sapiens; assembly: GCF_000001405.40. Classification (NCBI taxonomy): domain Eukaryota; kingdom Metazoa; phylum Chordata; class Mammalia; order Primates; family Hominidae; genus Homo; species Homo sapiens. Next base: position 53,518,049 of record NC_000011.10, read on the forward strand.
GGCTTTGAGGCCTGTGGTGGAAAAGGAAAATCTTCACATAAAAACTAGATGGAAGCATTCTCAGAAACTACTTTGTGATGATTGCATTCGACTCACAGAGTTGAACATTCCTATAGATAGAGCAGGTTGTAAACAATCTTTTTGTAGAATCTGCAATTGGAGATTTGGACTGCTTTGAGGCCTACTGTAGTAAAGGAAATAACTTCATCTAAAAACCAAACGGAAGCATTCACAGACAATTCTTAGTGATCATTGGATTGAACAAACAGAGCTGAACATTCCTTTAGATGGAGCAGTTTCCAAACACACTTTCTGTAGATTCTGCAAGTGGATATTTGGACCTCTCTGAGGATTTCGTTGGAAAAGGGATAAACTTCCCAGAACTACACGGAAGCATTCTGAGAAACTTCTTTGTGATGTTTGCATTCAACTCACAGAGTTGAACCTTGCTTTCATAGTTCAGCTTTCAAACACCCTTTTTGTAGAATCTGCAAGTGGATATTTGGACCACTTTGGGGCCTTCCTTCGAAACGGGTTCATCTTCACAGAAAAACTAAACAGGAGCATTCTCAGAAACTGCTTTGTGATGTTTGTGTTCCACTTCAAGAATTGAACTTTCCTCTTGACAGAACAGCTCTGAAACCCTCTTTTTCTAGAATCTGCAAGTGGACATTTGGATGGCTTTGAGGCCTGTGGTGGAAAAGGAAAATCTTCACATAAAAACTAGATGGAAGCATTCTCAGAAACTCCTTTGTGATGATTGCATTCGACTCACAGAGTTGAACATTCCTATAGATAAAGCAGGTTGTAAACAATCTTTTTGTAGAATCTGCGATTGGAGATTTGGACTGCTTTGAAGCCTACTGTAGTAAAGGAAATAACTTCATCTAAAAACCAAACGGAAGCATTCACAGACAATTCTTAGTGATCATTGCATTGAACTAACAGAGCTGAACATTCCTTTAGATGGCGCAGTTTCCAAACACACTTTCTGTAGAATCTGCAAGTGGATATTTGGACCTCTCTGAGGATTTCGTTGGAAACGGGATAAAATTCCCAGAACTACACGGAAGCATTCTGAGAAACTTCTTTGTGATGTTTGCATTCAACTCACAGCAATTGAACCTTGCTTTCATAGTTCAGCTTTCAAACACTCTTTTTGTAGAATCTGCAAGTGGATATTTGGACCACTTTGTGGCCTTCCTTCGAAACGGGTATATCTTCACATCAAACCTAGACAGAAGCATTCTCAGAATGTTTCCTGTGATGACTGCATTCAACTCACAGAGGTGAACAATCCTGCTGTTGGAGCAGTTTTGAAACTCTCTTTCTTTGGATTCTGCAAGTGGATATGTGGACCTCTGTGAAGATTTCATTGGAAACGGGTTCATCTTCACAGAAAAACTAAACAGGAGCATTCTCAGAAACTGCTGTATGATGTTTGTGTTCGACTTCAGGAATTGAACTTTCCTCTTGACAGAGCAGCTCTGAAACCCTCTTTTTCTAGAATCTGCAAGTGGACATTTGGAGGGCTTTGAGGCCTGTGGTGGAAAAGGAAAATCTTCACATAAAAACTAGATGGAAGCATTCTCAGAAACTACTTTGTGATGATTGCATTCGACTCACAGAGTTGAACATTCCTATAGATAGAGAAGGTTGTAAACAATCTTTTTGTAGAATCTGCGATTGGAGATTTGGACTGCTTTGAGGCCTACTGTAGTAAAGGAAATAACTTCACCTAAAAACCAAACGGAAGCATTCACAGACAATTCTTAGTGATCATTGCATTGAACTAACAGAGCTGAACATTCCTTTAGATGGCGCAGTTTCCAAACACACTTTCTGTAGAATCTGCAAGTGGATATTTGGACCTCTCTGAGGATTTCGTTGGAAACGGGATAAACTTCCCAGAACTACACGGAAGCATTCTGAGAAACTTCTTTGTGATGTTTGCATTCAACTCACAGAGTTGAACCTTGCTTTCATAGTTCAGCTTTCAAACACTCTTTTTGTAGAATCTGCAAGTGGATATTTGGACCACTTTGTGGCCTTCCTTCGAAACGGGTATATCTTCACATCAAACCTAGACAGAAGCATTCTCAGAATGTTTCCTGTGATGACTGCATTCAACTCACAGAGGTGAACAATCCTGCTGATGGAGCAGTTTTGAAACTCTCTTTCTTTGGATTCTGCAAGTGGATATGTGGACCTCTGTGAAGATTTCGTTGGAAACGGGTTCATCTTCACAGAAAAACTAAACAGAAGCATTCTCAGAAACTGCTTTGTGATGTTTGTGTTCCACTTCAAGAGATTGAACTTTCCTCTTAACAGAGCAGCTCTGAAACCCTCTTTTTCTAGAATCTGCAAGTGGACATTTGGAGGGCTTTGAGGCCTGTGGTGGAAAAGGAAAATCTTCACATAAAAACTAGATGGAAGCATTCTCAGAAACTACTTTGTGATGATTGCATTCGACTCACAGAGTTGAACATTCCTATAGATAGAGCAGGTTGTAAACAATCTTTTTGTAGAATCTGCGATTGGAGATTTGGACTGCTTTGAAGCCTACTGTAGTAAAGGAAATAACTTCATCTAAAAACCAAACGGAAGCATTCACAGACAATTCTTAGTGATCATTGGATTGAACTAACAGAGTTGAACATTCCTTTAGATGGCGCAGTTTCCAAACACACTTTCTGTAGAATCTGCAACTGGATATTTGGACCTCTCTGAGGATTTCGTTGGAAACGGGATAAACTTCCCAGAACTACACGGATGTATTCTGAGAAACTTCTTTGTGATGTTTGCATTCAACTCACAGAGTTGAACCTTGCTTTCATAGTTCAGCTTTCAAACACTCTTTTTGTAGAATCTGCAAGTGGATATTTGGACCACTTTGTGGCCTTCCTTCGAAACGGGTATATCTTCACATCAAACCTAGACAGAAGCATTCTCAGAATGTTTCCTGTGATGACTGCATTCAACTCACAGAGGTGAACAATCCTGTTGATGGAGCAGTTTTGAAACTCTCTTTCTTTGGATTCTGCAAGTTGATATGTGGACCTCTGTGAAGATTTCGTTGGAAACGGGTTCATCTTCACAGAAAAACTAAACAGAAGCATTCTCAGAAACTGCTTTGTGATGTTTTTGTTCCACTTCAGGGAATTGAACTTTCCTCTTGACAGAGCAGCTCTGAAACCCTCTTTTTCTAGAATCTGCAAGTGGACATTTGGAGGGCTTTGAGGCCTGTGGTGGAAAAGGAAAACCTTCACATAAAAACTAGATGGAAGCATTCTCAGAAACTACTTTGTGATGATTGCATTCGACTCACAGAGTTGAACATTCCTATAGATAGAGCAGGTTGTAAACAATCTTTTTGTAGAATCTGCGATTGGAGATTTGGACTGCTTTGAGGCCTACTGTAGTAAAGGAAATAACTTCATCTAAAAACCAAACGGAAGCATTCACAGACAATTCTTAGTGATCACTGGATTGAACTAACAGAGCTGAACATTCCTTTAGATGGAGCAGTTTCCAAACACACTTTCTGTAGAATCTGCAAGTGGATATTTGGACTTCTCTGAGGATTTCGTTGGAAACGGGATAAACTTCCCAGAACTACACGGAAGCATGCTGAGAAACTTCTTTGTGATGTTTGCATTCAACTCACAGAGTTGAACCTTGCTTTCATAGTTCAGCTTTCAAACACTCTTTTTGTAGAATCTGCAAGTGGATATTTGGACCATTTTGTGGCCTTCCTTCGAAACGGGTATATCTTCACATCAAACCTAGACAGAAGCATTCTCAGAATGTTTCCTGTGATGACTGCATTCAACTCACAGAGGTGAACAATACTGCTGATGGAGCAGTTTTGAAACTCTCTTTCTTTGGATTCTGCAAGTGGATATGTGGACCTCTGTGAAGATTTCGTTGGAAACGGGTTCATCTTCACAGAAAAACTAAACAGAAGCATTCTCAGAAACTGCTTTGTGATGTTTGTGTTCCACTTCAGGAATTGAACTTTCCTCTTGACAGAGCAGCTCTGAAACCCTCTTATTCTAGAATCTGCAAGTGGACATTTGGAGGGCTTTGAGGCCTGTGGTGGAAAAGGAAAATCTTCACATAAAAACTAGATGGAAGCATTCTCAGAAACTACTTTGTGATGATTGCATTCGACTCACAGAGTTGAACATTCCTATAGATAGAGCAGGTTGTAAACAATGTTTTTGTAGAATCTGCGATTGGAGATTTGGACTGCTTTGAGGCCTACTGTAGTAAAGGAAATAACTTCATCTAAAAACCAAACGGAAGCATTCACAGACAATTCTTAGTGATCATTGCATTGAACTAACAGAGCTGAACATTCCTTTAGATGGCGCAGTTTCCAAACACACTTTCTGTAGAATCTGCAAGTGGATATTTGGACCTCTCTGAGGATTTCGTTGGAAACGGGATAAAATTCCCAGAACTACACGGAAGCATTCTGAGAAACTTCTTTGTGATGTTTGCATTCAACTCACAGAGTAGAACCTTGCTTTCATAGTTCAGCTTTGAAACACTCTTTTTGTAGAATCTGCAAGTGGATATTTGGACCACTTTGTGGCCTTCCTTCGAAACGGGTATATCTTCACATCAAACCTAGACAGAAGCATTCTCAGAATGTTTCCTGTGATGACTGCATTCAACTCACAGAGGTGAAAAATCCTGCTGATGGAGCAGTTTTGAAACTCTCTTTCTTTGGATTCTGCAAGTGGATATGTGGACCTCTGTGAAGATTTCGTTGGAAACGGGTTCATCTTCACAGAAAAACTAAACAGAAGCATTCTCAGAAACTGCTTTGTGATGTTTGTGTTCGACTTCAAGAATTGAACTTTCCTCTTGACAGAGCAGCTCTGAAACCCTCTTTTTCTAGAATCTGCAAGTGGACATTTGGAGGGCTTTGAGGCCTGTGGTGGAAAAGGAAAATCTTCACATAAAAACTAGATGGAAGCATTCTCAGAAACTACTTTGTGATGATTGCATTCGACTCACAGAGTTGAACATTCCTATAGATAGAGCAGGTTGTAAACAATCTTTTTGTAGAATCTGCGATTGGAGATTTGGACTGCTTTGAGGCCTACTCTAGTAAAGGAAATAACATCATCTAAAAACCAAACGGAAGCATTCACAGACAATCCTTAGTGATCATTGCATTGAACTAACAGAGCTGAACATTCCTTTAGATGGAGCAGTTTCCAAACACACTTTCTGTAGAATCTGCAAGTGTATATTTGGACCTCTCTGAGGATTTCGTTGGAAACGGGATAAACTTCCCAGAACTACACGGAAGCATTCTGAGAAACTTCTTTGTGATGTTTGCATTCAACTCACAGAGTTGAACCTTGCTTTCATAGTTCAGCTTTCAAACACTCTTTTTGTAGAATCTGCAAGTGGATATTTGGACCACTTTGTGGCCTTCCTTCGAAACGGGTATATCTTCACATCAAACCTAGACAGAAGCATTCTCAGAATGTTTCCTGTGATGACTGCATTCAACTCACAGAGGTGAACAATCCTGCTGATGGAGCAGTTTTGAAACTCTCTTTCTTTGGATTCTGCAAGTGGATATGTGGACCTCTGTGAAGATTTCGTTGGAAACGGGTTCATCTTCACAGAAAAACTAAACAGGAGCATTCTCAGAAACTGCTTTGTGATGTTTGTGTTCCACTTCAGGAATTGAACTTTCCTCTTGACAGAGCAGCTCTGAAACCCTCTTATTCTAGAATCTGCAAGTGGACATTTGGAGGGCTTTGAGGCCTGTGGTGGAAAAGGAAAATCTTCACATAAAAACTAGATGGAAGCATTCTCAGAAACTACTTTGTGATGATTGCATTCGACTCACAGAGTTGAACATTCCTATAGATAGAGCAGGTTGTAAACAATCTTTTTGTAGAATCTGCGATTGGAGATTTGGACTGCTTTGAGGCCTACTGTAGTAAAGGAAATAACTTCATCTAAAAACCAAACGGAAGCATTCACAGACAATTCTTAGTGATCATTGGATTGAACTAACAGAGCTGAACATTCCTTTAGACGGAGCAGTTTCCAAACACACTTTCTGTAGAATCTGCAAGTGGATATTTGGACCTCTCTGAGGATTTCGTTGGAAACGGGATAAACTTCCCAGAACTACACGGAAGCATTCTGAGAAACTTCTTTGTGATGTTTGCATTCAACTCACAGAGTTGAACCTTGCTTTCATAGTTCAGCTTTCAAACACTCTTTTTGTAGAATCTGCAAGTGGATATTTGGACCACTTTGTAGCCTTCCTTCGAAACGGGTATATCTTCACATCAAACCTAGACAGAAGCATTCTCAGAATGTTTCCTGTGATGACTGCATTCAACTCACAGAGGTGAACAATCCTGTTGATGGAGCAGTTTTGAAACTCTCTTTCTTTGGATTCTGCAAGTGGATATGTGGACCTCTGTGAAGATTTCGTTGGAAACGGGTTCATCTTCACAGAAAAACTAAACAGGAGCATTCTCAGAAACTACTTTGTGATGTTTGTGTTCCACTTCAAGAATTGAACTTTCCTCTTGACAGAGCAGCTCTGAAACCCTCTTTTTCTAGAATCTGCAAGTGGACATTTGGAGGGCTTTGAGGCCTGTGGTGGAAAAGGAAAATCTTCACATAAAAACTAGATGGAAGCATTCTCAGAAACTACTTTGTGATGATTGCATTCGACTCACAGATTTGAACATTCCTATACATAGAGCAGGTTGTAAACAATCTTTTTGTAGAATCTGCGATTGGAGATTTGGACTGCTTTGAGGCCTACTGTAGTAAAGGAAATAACTTCATCTAAAAACCAAACGGAAGCATTCACAGACAATTCTTAGTGATCATTGGATTGAACTAACAGAGCTGAACATTCCTTTAGATGGAGCAGTTTCCAAACACACTTTCTGTAGAATCTGCAAGTGGATATTTGGACCTCTCTGAGGATTTCGTTGGAAACGGGATAAACTTCCCAGAACTACACGGAAGCATTGTGAGAAACTTCTTTGTGATGTTTGCATTCAACTCACAGAGTTGAACCTTGCTTTCATAGTTCAGCTTTCAAACACTCTTTTTGTAGAATCTGCAAGTGGATATTTGGACCACTTTGTGGCCTTCCTTCGAAACGGGTATATCTTCACATCAAACCTAGACAGAAGCATTCTCAGAATGTTTCCTGTGATGACTGCATTCAACTCACAGAGGTGAACAATCCTGCTGATGGAGCAGTTTTGAAACTCTCTTTCTTTGGATTCTGCAAGTGGATATGTGGACCTCTGTGAAGATTTCGTTGGAAACGGGTTCATCTTCACAGAAAAACTAAACAGGAGCATTCTCAGAAACTGCTTTGTGATGTTTTTGTTCCACTTCAGGGAATTGAACTTTCCTCTTGACAGAGCAGCTCTGAAACCCTCTTTTTCTAGAATCTGCAAGTGGACATTTGGAGGGCTTTGAGGCCTGTGGTGGAAAAGGAAAACCTTCACATAAAAACTAGATGGAAGCATTCTCAGAAACTACTTTGTGATGATTGCATTCGACTCACAGAGTTGAACATTCCTATAGATAGAGCAGGTTGTAAACAATCATTTTGTAGAATCTGCGATTGGAAATTTGGACTGCTTTGAGGCCTACTGTAGTAAAGGAAATAACTTCATCTTAAAACCAAACGGAAGCATTCACAGACAATTCTTAGTGATCATTGGAATGAACTAACAGAGCTGAACATTCCTTTAGATGAAGCAGTTTCCAAACACACTTTCTGTAGAATCTGCAAGTGGATATTTGGACCTCTCTGAGGATTTCGTTGGAAAAGGGATAAATTTCCCAGAACTACACGGAAGCATTCTGAGAAAATTCTTTGTGATGTTTGCATTCAACTCACAGAGTTGAACCTTGCTTTCATAGTTCAGCTTTCAAACACTCTTTTTGTAGAATCTGCAAGTGGATATTTGGACCAATTTGTGGCCTTCCTTCGAAACGGGTATATCTTCACATCAAACCTAGACAGAAACATTCTCAGAATGTTTCCTGTGATGACTGCATTCAACTCACAGAGGTGAACAATCCTGCTGATGGAGCAGTTTTGAAACTCTCTTTCTTTGGATTCTGCAAGTGGATATGTGGACCTCTGTGAAGATTTCGTTGGAAACGGGTTCATCTTCACAGAAAAACGAAACAGGAGCATTCTCAGAAACTGCTTTGTGATGTTTGTGTTCCACTTCAGGAATTGAACTTTCCTCTTGACAGAGCAGCTCTGAAACCCTCTTATTCTAGAATCTGCAAGTGGACATTTGGAGGGCTTTGAGGCCTGTGGTGGAAAAGGAAAATCTTCACATAATAACTAGATGGAAGCATTCTCAGAAACTACTTTGTGATGATTGCATTCGACTCACAGTAGTTGAACATTCCTATAGATAGAGCAGGTTGTAAACAATCTTTTCGTAGAATCTGCGATTGGAGATTTGGACTGCTTTGAGGCCTACTGTAGTAAAGGAAATAACTTCATCTAAAAGCCAAACGGAAGCATTCACAGACAATTCTTAGTGATCATTGGATTGAACTAACAGAGCTGAACATTCCCTTAGATGGAGCAGTTTCCAAACACACTTTCTGTAGAATCTGCAAGTGGATATTTGGACCTCTCTGAGGATTTCGTTGGAAACGGGATAAACTTCCCAGAACTACACGGAAGCATTCTGAGAAACTTCTTTGTGATGTTTGCATTCAACTCACAGAGTTGAACCTTGCTTTCATAGTTCAGCTTTCAAACACTCTTTTTGTAGAATCTGCAAGTGGATATTTGGACCACTTTCTGGCCTTCCTTCGAAACGGGTATATCTTCACATCAAACCTAGACAGAAGCATTCTCAGAATGTTTCCTGTGATGACTGCATTCAACTCACAGAGGTGAACAATCCTGCTGATGGAGCAGTTTGGAAACTCTCTTTCTTTGGATTCTGCAAGTGGATATGTGGACCTCTGTGAAGATTTCGTTGGAAACGGGTTCATCTTCACAGAAAAACTAAACAGGAGCATTCTCAGAAACTGCTTTGTGATGTTTGTGTTCCACTTCAAGAATTGAACTTTCCTCTTGACAGAGCAGCTCTGAAACCCTCTTTTTCTAGAATCTGCAAGTGGACATTTGGAGGGCTTTGAGGCCTGTGGTGGAAAAGGAAAATCTTCACATAAAAACTAGATGGAAGCATTCTCAGAAACTACTTTGTGATGATTGCATTCGACTCACAGAGTTGAACATTCCTATAGATAGAGCAGGTTGTAAACAATCTTTTTGTAGAATCTGCGATTGGAGATTTGGACTGCTTTGAGGCCTACTGCAGTAAAGGAAATAACTTCATCTAAAAACCAAACGGAAGCATTCACAGACAATTCTTAGTGATCATTGGATTGAACTAACAGAGCTGAACATTTCTTTAGATAGAGCAGTTTCCAAACACACTTTGAGTAGAATCTGCAAGTGGATATTTGGACTTCTCTGAGGATTTCGTTGGAAACGGGATAAACTTCCCAGAACTACACGGAAGCATTCTCAGAAACTTCTTTGTGATGTTGCATTCAACTCACAGACTTGAACCTTGCTTTCATAGTTCAGCTTCCAAACACTCTTTTTGTAGAATCTGCAAGTGGATATTTGGACCACTTTGTGGCCTTCCTTCGAAACGGGAATATCTTCACATCAAACCTAGACAGAAGCATTCTCAGAATGTTTCCTGTGATGACTGCATTCAACTCACAGAGGTGAACAATCCTGCTGATGGAGCAGTTTTGAAACTCCCTTTCTTTGGATTCTGCAAGTGGATATGTGGACCTCTGTGAAGATTTTGTTGGAAACGGGTTCATCTTCACAGAAAAACTAAACAGAAGCATTCTCAGAAACTACTTTGTGATGTTTGTGTTCCACTTCAAGAATTGAACTTTCCTCTTGACAGAGCAGCTCTGAAACCCTCTTTTTCTAGAATCTGCAAGTGGACATTTGGAGGGCTTTGAGGCCTGTGGTGGAAAAGGAAAATCTTCACATAAAAACTAGCATGGAAGCATTCTCAGAAACTACTTTGTGATGATTGCATTCGACTCACAGAGTTGAACATTCCTATAGATAGAGCAGGTTGTAAACAATCTTTTTGTAGAATCTGCGATTGGAGATTTGGACTGCTTTGAGGCCTACTGTAGTAAAGGAAATAACTTCATCTAAAAACCAAACGGAAGCATTCACAGACAATTCTTAGTGATCATTGCATTGAATTAACAGAGCTGAACATTCCTTTAGATGGAGCAGTTTCCAAACCCACTTTCTGTAGAATCTGCAAGTGGATATTTGGACTTCTCTGAGGATTTCGTTGGAAACGGGATAAACTTCCCAGAACTACAGGGAAGCATTGTGAGAAACTTCTTTGTGATGTTTGCATTCAACTCACAGAGTTGAACCTTGCTTTCATAGTTCAGCTTTCAAACACTCTTTTTGTAGAATCTGCAAGTGGATATTTGGACCACTTTGTGGCCTTCCTTCGAAACGGGTATATCTTCACATCAAACCTAGACAGAAAAGCATTCTCAGAATGTTTCCTGTGATGACTGCATTCAACGCACAGAGGTGAACAATCCTGCTGATGGAGCAGTTTTGAAACTCTCTTTCTTTGGAATCTGCAAGTGGATATGTGGACCTCTTTGAAGATTTCGTTGGAAACGGGTTCATCTTCACATAAAAACTAAACAGAAACATTCTCAGAAACTGCTTTGTGATGTTTGTGTTCCACTTCAGGAATTGAACTTTCCTCTTCACAGAGCAGCTCTGAAACCCTCTTATTCTAGAATCTGCAAGTGGACATTTGGAGGGCTTTGAGGCCTGTGGTGGAAAAGGAAAATCTTCACATAAAAACTAGATGGAAGCATTCTCAGAAACTACTTTGTGATGATTGCATTCGACTCACAGAGTTGAACATTCCTATAGATAGAGCAGGTTGTAAACAATCTTTTTGTAGAATCTGCGATTGGAGATTGGGACTGCTTTGAGGCCTACTGTAGTAAAGGAAATAACTTCATCTAAAAACCAAACGGAAGCATTCACAGACAATTCTTAGTGATCATTGGATTGAACTAACAGAGCTGAACATTCCCTTAGATGGCGCAGTTTCCAAACACACTTTCTGTAGAATCTGCAAGTGGATATTTGGACCTCTCTGAGGATTTCGTTGGAAACGGGATATACTTCCCAGAACTACACGGAAGCATTCTGAGAAACTTCTTTGTGATGTTTGCATTCAACTCACAGAGTTGAACCTTGCTTTCATAGTTCAGCTTTCAAACCCTCTTTTTGTAGAATCTGCAAGTGGATATTTGGACCACTTTGTGGCCTTCCTTCGAAACGGGTATATCTTCACATCAAACCTAGACAGAAGCATTCTCAGAGTGTTTCCTGTGATGACTGCATTCAACTCACAGAGGTGAACAATCCTGCTGATGGAGCAGTTTTGAAACTCTCTTTCTTTGGATTCTGCAAGTGGATATGTGGACCTCTGTGAAGATTTCGTTGGAAACGGGTTCATCTTCACAGAAAAACTAAACAGGAGCATTCTCAGAAGCTGCTTTGTGATGTTTGTGTTCCACTTCAGGAATTGAACTTTCCTCTTGACAGAGCAGCTCTGAAACCCTCTTATTCTAGAATCTGCAAGTGGACATTTGGAGGGCTTTGAGGCCTGTGGTGGAAAAGGAAAATCTTCACATAAAAACTAGATGGAAGCATTCTCAGAAACTACTTTGTGATGATTGCATTCGACTCACAGAGTTGAACATTCGTATAGATAGAGCAGGTTGTAAACAATCTTTTTGTAGAATCTGCGATTGGAGATTTGGACTGCTTTGAGGCCTACTGTAGTAAAGGAAATAACTTCATCTAAAAACCAAACGGAAGCATTCACAGACAATTCTTAGTGATCATTGGATTGAACTAACAGCAGCTGAACATTCCTTTAGATGGCGCAGTTTCCAAACACACTTTCTGTAGAATCTGCAAGTGGATATTTGGACCTCTCTGAGGATTTCGTTGGAAACGGGATAAACTTCCCAGAACTACACGGAAGCATTCTGAGAAACTTCTTTGTGATGTTTGCATTCAACTCACAGAGTTGAACCTTGCTTTCATAGTTCAGCTTTCAAACACTCTTTTTGTAGAATCTGCAAGTGGATATTTGGACCACTTTGTGGCCTTCCTTCGAAACGGGTATATCTTCACATCAAACCTAGACAGAAGCATTCTCAGAATGTTTCCTGTGATGACTGCATTCAACTCACAGAGGTGAACAATCCTGCTGATGGAGCAGTTTTGAAACTCTCTTTCTTTGGATTCTGCAAGTGGATATGTGGACCTCTGTGAAGATTTCGTTGGAAACGGGTTCATCTTCACAGAAAAATTAACAGGAGCATTCTCAGAAACTGCTTTGTGATGTTTGTGTTCCACTTCAAGAATTGAACTTTCCTCTTGACAGAGCAGCTCTGAAACCCTCTTTTTCTAGAATCTGCAAGTGGACATTTGGAGGGCTTTGAGGCCTGTGTGGAAAAGGAAAATCTTCACATAAAAACTAGATGGAAGCATTCTCAGAAACTACTTTGCGATGATTGCATTCGACTCACAGAGCTGAACATTCCTATAGATAGAGCAGGTTGTAAACAATCTTTTTGTAGAATCTGCGATTGGAGATTTGGACTGCTTTGAGGCCTACTGTAGTAAAGGAAATAACTTCATCTAAAAACCAAACGGAAGCATTCACAGACAATTCTTAGTGATCATTGCATTGAACAAACAGAGCTGAACATTGCTTTAGATGGCGCAGTTTCCAAACCCACTTTCTGTAGAATCTGCAAGTGGATATTTGGACCTCTCTGAGGATTTCGTTGGAAACGGGATAAACTTCCCAGAACTACACGGAAGCATTCTGAGAAACTTCTTTGTGATGTTTGCATTCAACTCACAGAGTTGAACCTTGCTTTCATAGTTCAGCTTTCAAACACTCTTTTTGTAGAATCTGTAAGTGGATATTTGGACCACTTTGTGGCCTTCCTTCGAAAGGGGTATATCTTCACATCAAACCTAGACAGAAGCATTCTCAGAATGTTTCCTGTGATGACTGCATTCAACACACAGAGGTGAACAATCCTGTTGATGGAGCAGTTTTGAAACTCTCTTTCTTTGGATTCTGCAAGTGGATATGTGGACCTCTGTGAAGATTTCGTTGGAAACGGGTTCATCTTCACAGAAAAACTAAACAGGAGCATTCTCAGAAACTGCTTTGTGATGTTTGTGTTCCACTTCAGGAATTGAACTTTCCTCTTGATAGAGCAGCTCTGAAACCCTCTTTTTCTAGAATCTGCAAGTGGACATTTGGAGGGTTTTGGGTCCTGTGGTGGAAAAGGAAATCTTCACATAAAAACTAGATGGAAGCATTCTCAGAAACTACTTTGTGATGATTGCATTCGACTCACAGAGTTGAACATTCCTATAGTTAGAGCAGGTTGTAAACAATGTTTTTGTAGAATCTGCGATTGGAGATTTGGACTGCTTTGAGGCCTACTGTAGTAAAGGAAATAACTTCATCTAAAAACCAAACGGA